>NC_000003.12:160675270-160978301 GCF_000001405.40 Homo sapiens | reverse complement strand
CATGGGATGCCCACAGAACTCACTCAGCCTTCAGGCCTACATAAACCAGAAATTCAGGGAAGTTAATGTCTGTGGAACTACCATTGGCCAAATGTGGGAGTGGTACTGGTAGCTAAATGGTCTGGGATGCTATTCACAAGCTACCTTAGAAGGTACCTGGGCTTAAGCAGCATTTGTCCTCAGATGAGCCCAACTCCATAAGTGTCCTCATAGTAGGTTTCCTTGTTTCCTCTTTCATTCCCAGTGCCCCTCACTCCTGTTCCTTGGGGTGATATTCCTAAATAAACCAATTGTAAGCAAGTCTTTGCTTCAGGCTCTACATTTGAGGAACCCAGACTAAGACAATGTTGTTCAATGTCCCATACACAGGAAGTCTTGTGATAAAGTCTTTATGATCTTTAGTGCCAAAAGAGAAGTTGTCTCCACTGAAAAACTTTTATTTTATCTATTAAAACAGTGAGAACTTTATAAGTCATTAGGTTTCTCTTTTTGCTCTGGTTATCAGAAAGCTTAGGAGAAATTGGATGCTTAATTAAAGTATATTATTATACTTTAGTATTCTTTATGGATAGTACATTTGCTTTCGTCCTTATTTATGGCTTTGATCTATTTTTATTGTAACATTATTATTATAAGAATGGCAAATCAAACTTTTAGGGAAGAAGTGGGATATAAATAATAAAAATATAATTTGTGTTACTTCCTTCCTTGAATGAGGCAGACTAAGACAGGAGAATGGAAATCAGAGTGACTCAGGTAAGGAATAAGTCAGTTAAGTACAGGTGTTATTTTGAAACAAATTCTAGAAAATAGATTCATAGATACAGAAGTCAAAGATTAGCAATAAATTCGAAGGAAGCAGACTTCTAACTCATCTGTCTTTACCCATTTCTTAGACTCTCGGCACGTAGCCAGAACTTGGCACATAGTAAATGTTTGTGTTGAATGAACAGTGTATGTCCTAGCAATTTCTACACAGTCAATTTAGAATTCCCTAGGATTGATTAAAGAACTAAAGAGCACATCCAGGAGCTCCTCCAGTGTATATACTAAAGAAACTCCTTATCAAACCAGCTTCATCAGAAATGGCCTAAGCCACACAGCCTTGAGACAAACTTATCAACTAAGGAAACACAAAGATAATTCCTCTGGGCACTAGAAGGTGACTTAAAAAAACAGTGTCTTTCACAGAAATAAAGATGTTCTTTGAAACCAACGAGAACAAAGACACAACATACCAGAATCTCTGGGACGCATTCAAAGCAGTGTGTAGAGGGAAATTTATAGCACTAAATGCCCACAACAGAAAGCAGGAAAGATCCAAAATTGACACCCTAACATCACAATTAAAAGAACTAGAAAAGCAAGAGCAAACACATTCAAAAGCTAGCTGAAGGCAAGAAATAACTAAAATCAGAGCGGAACTGAAGGAAATACAGACACAAAAAACCCTTCAAAAAATTAATGAATCCAGGAGCTGGTTTTTTGAAAGGATCAACAAAACTGATAGACCGCTAGCAGACTAATAAAGAAAAAAAGAGAGAAGAATCAAATGGACGCAATAAAAAATGATAAAGGGGATATCACCACCAATCCCACAGAAATACAAACTACCATCAGAGAATACTACAAACACCTCTATACAAATAAACTAGAAAATCTAGAAGAAATGGATAAATTCCTTGACACATACACTCTCCCAAGACTAAACCAGGAAGAAGTTGAATCTCTGAATAGACCAATAACAGGACCTGAAATTGTGGCAATAATCAATAGCTTACCAACCAAAAGGAGTCCAGGACCAGATGGATTCACAGCCGAATTCTACCAGAGGTACAAGGAGGAACTGGTACCATTCCTTCTGAAACTATTCCAATCAATAGAAAAAGAGGGAATCCTCCCTAACTCATTTTATGAGGCCAGCATCATCCTGATACCAAAGCCGGGCAGAGACACAACCAAAAAAGAGAATTTTAGACCAATATCCTTGATGAACATTGATGCAAAAATCCTCAATAAAATACTGGCAAACCGAATCCAGTGGCACATCAAAAAGCTTATCCACCATGATCAAGTGGGCTTCATCCCTGGGATGCAAGGCTGGTTCAATATATGCAAATCAATAAATGTAATCCAGCATATAAACAGAGCCAAAGACAAAAACCACATGATTATCTCAATAGATGCAGAAAAAGCCTTTGACAAAATTCAACAACCCTTCATGCTAAAAACTCTCAATAAATTAGGTATTGATGGGACGTATTTCAAAATAATAAGAGCTATCTATGACAAACCCACAGCCAATATCATACTGAATGGGCAAAAACTGGAAGCATTCCCTTTGAAAACTGCCACAAGACAGGGATGCCCTCTCTCACCACTCCTATTCAACATAGTGTTGGAAGTTCTGGCCAGGGCAATTAGGCAGGAGAAGGAAATAAAGGGTATTCAATTAGGAAAAGAGGAAGTCAAATTGTCCCTGTTTGCAGATGACATGATTGTATATCTAGAAAACCCCATTGTCTCAGCCCAAAATCTCCTTAAGCTGATTAGCAACTTTAGCAAAGTCTCAGGATACAAAATCAATGTACCAAAATCACAAGCATTCTTATACACTAACAACAGACAAACAGAGAGCCAAATCATGAGTGAACTCTCATTCACAATTGCTTCAAAGAGAATAAAATACCTAGGAATCCAACTTACAAGGGATGTGAAGGACCTCTTCAAGGAGAACTACAAACCACTGCTCAAGGAAATAAAAAAGGATACAAACAAATGGAAGAACATTCCATGCTCATGGGTCAGAAGACTCAATATCGTGAAAATGGCCATACTGCCCAAGGCAATTTACAGATTCAATGCCATCCCCATCAAGCTACCGATGATTTTCTTCACAGAATTGGAAAAAACTACTTTAAAGTTCATATGGAACCAAAAAAGAGCCCGCATCGCCAAGTCAATCCTAAGCCAAAAGAACAAAGCTGGAGGCATCACACTACCTGACTTCAAACTATACTACAAGGCTACAGTAACCAAAAGAGCATGGTACTGGTACCAAAACAGAGATATAGATCAATGGAACAGAACAGAGCCCTCAGAAATAACGCCGCATATCTACAACTATCTAATCTTTGACAAACCTGAGAAAAACCAGCAATGGGGAAAGGATTCCCTATTTAATAAATGGTGCTGGGAAAACTGGCTAGCCATACGTAGAAAGCTGAAACTGGATCCCTTCCTTACACCTTATACAAAAATCAATTCAAGATGGATTAAAGACTTAAATGTTAGACCTAAAACCATAAAAACCCTAGAAGAAAATCTAGGCATTACCATTCAGGATATAGGCATGGGCAAGGACTTCATGTCTAAAACACCAAAAGCAATGGCAACAAAAGCCAAAATTGACAAATGGGATCTAATTAAACTAAAGAGCTTCTGCACAGCAAAAGAAACTACCATCAGAGTGAACAGGCAACCTACAAAATGGGAGAAAATTTTCGCAACCTACTCATCTGACAAAGGGCTAATATCCAGAATCTACAATGAACTCCAACAAATTTACAAGAAAAAAACAAACAACCCCATCAAAAAGTGGGCAAAGGACATGAACAGACACTTCTCAAAAGAAGACATTTATGCAGCCAAAAAACACATGAAAAAATGCTCATCATCACTGGCCATCAGAGAAATGCAAATCAAAACCACAATGAGATACCATCTCACACCAGTTACAATGGCAATCATTAAAAATTCAGGAAACAACAGGTGCTGGAGAGGATGTGGAGAAATAGGAACACTTTTACACTGTTGGTGGGACTGTAAACTAGTTCAACCATTGTGGAAGTCAGTGTGGCGATTCCTCAGGGATCTAGAACTAGAAATACCATTTGACCCAGCCATCCCATTACTGGATATACACCCACACAACTATAAATCATGCTGCTATAAAGACACATGCACATGTATGTTTATTGCGGCATTATTCACAATAGCAAAGACTTGGAACCAACCCAAATGTCCAACAATGATAGACTGGATTAAGAAAATGTGGCACATATACACCATGGAATACTATGCAGCCATAAAAAATGTTGAGTTCATGTCCTTTGTAGGGACATAGATGAAATTGGAAATCATCATTCTCAGTAAACTATCGCAAGAACAAAAAACCAAACACCGCATATTCTCACTCATAGGTGGGAATTGAACAATGAGATCACATGGACACAGGAAGGGGAATATCACACTCTGGGGACTGTGGTGGGGTGGGGGGAGGGGGGAGGGATAGCACTGGGAGATATACCTAATGCTAGATGACGAGTTAGTGGGTCCAGCGCACCAGCATGGCACATGTATACATATGTAACTAACCTGCACAATGTGCACATGTACCCTAAAACTTAAAGTATAATAAAAAATACATAAATAAATTAGAAAAAAAAAGAAAAACTAGATAGAATCATTCTCAAAAAAAAATAAAAAAATAAAGACAAGTCTTGGTTAAAAAAAAAAAAAAAAAAAAAAAAAAAAACAGGGCCTTTCAGAAGGCAATTTACCAGATGAATTCTTAAAGTGTCTAGTAGATCCCAAAGACTGAACATAACATTTGCAAAATGGCATTAAACAGCAGCCCAGCTGTCTATGATTACATATCTTCAGAGTCTGAGAGTCAACCAAGGATGCATTTTACCTACCTCTCACTACTACAAATGGACCATCACAATACATTAGAAATCCTGGCACTTTAAAAACTATTTTATTTTTCTCTATAAACTGAAGGTCTTACCATTAATGTGTATGTCATTAAAATTTATTACAAACATTCTAACAAGGTCTATAAAATCTTGTTTACACAATCCCGATAGTACAGAAAGGAAGAGATACCGATGGCATTGGCATCTTGTCTCTGGATAGCTAATGTACTCTAAAGTATGACCACCTGGTCCAATTATTTTCTTTGAAGTATACACATTTCCTTTAGTCCTTGTAATCAAATACTACTTCAGAGACAGGAAGTAACACTACTTCCCTTGTGGCAAACAAGGACAACTTGATTAAAAAGATAAATACAGCTCCAGTCCAAATGTTTTAATCACTAGAGATGGCACTTCCTGATTCTAAATATCAGTGTTCCTTTGTGGTTTCTGGTTTTCTCAGCAAAGTTCTTTAAAATTTTGCCCACCATAAAATTTAGATCAATGTATTTTCAGAGTGGATATGAGGTGTTCTATTAGAAAGGTAAGATGAAGTTGGGGAATGTGATTTTTTAAAATACCTTCCTATCATACCACTTTTACAAGAACATTTATGCAGCCAAAAAACACATGAAAAAATGCTCATCATCACTGGCCATCAGAGAAATGCAAATCAAAACCACAGTGAGATACCATCTCACACCAGTTACAATGGCGATCATTAAAAAGTCAGGAAACAACAGGTGCTGGAGAGGATGTGGAGAAATAGGAACACTTTTACACTGTTGGTGGGACTGTAAACTAGTTCAACCATTGTGGAAGTCAGTGTGGCGATTCCTCAGGGATCTAGAACTAGAAATACCATTTGACCCAGCCATCCCATTACTGGGTATATACCCAAAGGATTATAAATCATGCTGCTATAAAGACACATGCACATGTATGTTTATTGCAGCATTATTCACAATAGCAAAGACTTTGAACCAACCCAAATGTCCAATGATGATAGACTGGATTAAGAAAATGTGGCACATATACACCATGGAATGCTATGCAGCCATAAAAAATGATGAGTTCATGTCCTTTGTAGGGACATGGATGAAGCTGGAAACCATTATTCTCAGCAAACTATCGCAAGGACAAAAAACCAAACACCTCATGTTCTCACTCATAGGTGGGAAATGAACAATGAGAACACATGGACACAGGAAGGGGAACATCACACACTGGGGACTGTTGTGGGGTGGGGGGAGGGGAGAGGGATAGCATTAGGAGATATACCTAATGTTAAATGACGAGCTAATGGGTGCAGCACACCAACATGGCACATGTATACATATGTAACAAACCTGCACGTTGTGCACATGTACCCTAAAACTTAAAGTATAATAAAAAAAAAGATTAAGTCTGAATTATCATTTTTTCTACATTGGAGGAATCATAAGCAAACAGGCAATGCTGATAGCATATTAATATAAACTAAAATAAACTAATTAATATCAGTTGGAGAGCTGCAGTTAGAATGTGGTGGTGAGTCTGTGAGTGGTGGCTCATTCCTGTAATTCCAGGACTTTAACAGGCCAAGGTGGGAGGATCACTTGAGGCCAGGAGTTTGAGACCAGCCTGGACAACACAGTAAGAACCCGTCTCTACAGAAAAATTTTACAAATAACAATTAGCCATGGTGGTGTAAACCTGTAGTATCAGCTACTCTGGAGGCTGAGGCTGGAGAGTCCCTTGAGCCCAGGAGTTCAAGGTTGCAGAGAGCTAAGATCATGCCACGGCACTCCAGCCTGGGCAACAGGGTGAGACCCTGTCTCAATAAAAAAAAGAATGTGGTAGGTGTTGCCATGGCAGAAGGCAAGAATTGGTCTGTATAAGGCACCAACATATAACCACAGTTACAGAAGCAAAGAAGAAAACAAGGCATTATTCAAAGCCTGTCTTTAAAAACGCAACTGGCAGTAAAGTTCAACATGAACAGTTCACAAGATTTACGGGTTCTCTCATGATTTTCTGATTTAAGAACTCTTTACCAATTCCAAACCTAATTTCTTCCTCCTCTGCACATCTACCGTCCCCTATAACACCAATTCCACTACACTCTAGTTGTCTGTTTTTACTGGCTATCTCTCTGCCCTCCCACATGAGCACACATACAAATGCACACACTGTGCACCTGGAGTTAAGGGCCACGTGGTCATCTGAGCATTTCTAGTGGTGGGTACTGTGTCTGGCTCAAAGATGCTCATTCAGTCAGTGTTTACAGAGTGAATAAATGAATGAACCAATAACTGTTAAATAAACAGACAAAAATCACACATTGTTACGACTGGAAGAGATTTAAGAAAATATCTAATCCAATACCTTTATTTTACAGTTGAAGAAACCATGCAGAGAGATGCAACGTCCCACCATAGACAAAAACCTAGGCTGGGGCTTGTAAATTACATGTTTCGGTACTTTCAAACAACTATGGCCAATAGTTTTCTATTTTGTAGATGTCAAAGTCACTTTGTTTAGTTACTGCTCCCCATCACCAAAAGATAATTTGGCTTTTAAAATCCACAGTCTAAATGGAAAGTGTAAGAATTATAACTGAGCTAACAGGGTGAAACCCCGTCTCTACTAAAAATACAAAAAATTAGCCGGGCGAGGTGGCGGGCGCCTGTAGTCCCAGCTACTCGGGAGGCTGAGGCAGGAGAATGGCGTGAACCCCAGGGGGCGGAGCCTGCAGTGAGCCGAGATTGCGCCACTGCACTCCAGCCTGGGCGACAGCGAGACTCCGTCTCAAAAAAAAAAAAAAAAAAAAAATTATAACTGAAATTAAAATCAGCTTGGTTAGGCCAGGTGCAATAGCACACACCTGTAATCCCAGCACTTTGGGAGGCTAAGGTGGGTGAATCACTTGAGGTCAGGACTTTGAGACCAACTGGCAAACATGGTGAAACCCCATCTCTACCAAAAAAATAAAAAGTAAAGAAATTAGCTGGGCGTGGTTGCACATGCCTGTAGTCCCAGCTACTTGGGAGGCTGATGCACGAGAATTGCTTGAACCCAGGAGGCGGAGGTTGCAGTGAGCCAAGATTGCGCCACTGCACTCCAGCCTGGGCAACAAAGTGACACTCCATCTCAAAAAAAAAAAAAAAAAAAATATTCAGCTTGGTTAAAAAGATTGATAAATTAGTCACCTACGTAGCCTCAAAAACAAATTTAATATTATCGCCAGAAATAAGTTCTCAGTTTATAAGTGGATTTTGAGTACCCATTTTACTCCCCTCTTCCTACTGTTATTATACATGGCTAGTAATCGTCTGCATTACAAAAGCCTTATGTTTTTGTTATTCATACTACCATTCTCATTTTTTTCACAGATAAGAAACAGACCACCAAATTCTGGGATTCTATGTGGTAAAGAGAACTGAAACATGGATACAAGACAGGAACCATATTAAAAATATTAAAAGGTTGTGAGAATAACTGTGGTATATCCACTCAATAGAGTACTGCAGTTATTACAAGTGACCTTTATAGGTAGTTTATAACAGCATAAAATATGATTAAAAATGTTAAATAAAAAAGATATAAAATTTGGCATAAATAATTAAAACTCAGCAGAGAAAAATGGCAAGAAATAAATACACCAAAGATGTTGATTATGTTTAGGTAGTAGAATTAAAGATTATCTTTTTCTCTTCCTTTTTCCACGTTTAAAAAATGTTCTAAAGTATATTTATTTAGTTTTATAATGGAAAAATAAAATAGATTAAATCTTTCTACAGAAAATAAGAAGTTGGTGTCAGAGGTTGCACAGTCAATATTGAACTTCCCTTTATTAGTTTCTTTTGGGTCTCTGTTTTTGTCTTCCTTCCAAATTCTCCAATTCTTGTCAACAAGTCCCTGGAGAGGGTATCTTTTGAGCTAAGAAATGGGGTCCTGATTGAAGATATAAAGTAAGGAAACCTTAGTGTCACCTCTTCCCTTAGGAGCTGTTTGAGAAATATACTGAGAAATTCACTCTATTTGTTGGAGTGAAGAACTTCCTGCAAATGCCTTTTACTAGATTTTTTATGTTCTTAGAAAACCTGGAAAGTCCCTAAATAATTCAACACACTCTTTCCTGGGTTTGGTTGCTGGATGTATGTTCAATTTTTTCCCCCATGACAGTAAATGGCCTTTCTTTTGAGATTACTGATTACTATGACACTAATGTCCCAATTAAAATGTAGATGTAACTTTCAGGCACCATCTATTTTAAGAAGAATAAAATCAGCTCAATAGGAGGTAACCCTCCAGCTACTTCCTAAGCTGCTTAGAGCACATTCCTCCACGCTTTTAAAAAGCTATTTTTCCAAAAATTATAGTGCTTGGTGTGTCTTCACCACAGGTAGCTTTCACCTGCAGGTAGAGCTACATCAGGGAATCATAAAGCAAAAGCTGAGAAATTAATGCTGCTCCTCCTTTCTCACCTCCTCTGGGAAAGCTGTATGTGACTGCCTGACACTTATAAATGAATATGCAGGCTCCCAACTCTGATACCCAAAGGAACACAAGAAACAGCCAGCTGAGCTCTCTTCTTCCCTCATGTGCACCATCTGGTTCACTTTCTACGCGTAAGTGCATTTTCCACATTGCAGAAGCATGTGCTCATTGGAAGGCTGTATAGGTTTCTAGCCAAACTGTAAGAACAGAAAGCCCTTGCTGGTCTGAGAACTCTGAGAAGGAGATCTAAGCAGCAGCTTAGGCAACTATCTTGAGGCCTGCAACAAGATGCTACCATTGAGCATTCTACCCATTGCAGGTGTACTCAGCTTTTCCCAAAGGGAAAAATATGCAGCTCTTCACTCCTGTTTCCAGACTTCCGCTCCCATGGCTTAGGGTTCTTGAGCCTGTGACAGAAAATATCACTCTCAAATAAATGGGCCTACTCTCCTCATAATTCCCTCAAACACATGGCATTACAAACCATATCCTTAACAAAGGAATATGTAGGGAATATTTATTCATGCCCAAACTCAAAAATAATTAAAAACAGAATTTGAGATTAGCTACAGAAACATAAATAATACTCCAGCATAAAAATAAATATGAGGAAAGATTCCCTCTCTTGGTATTTTAACCCTTTGACTTTTGCCCACTATGACACATAATAAATATTTAGGTTGATGATGCTTTGGACAGTGTAAAATGCTATTTTGATCTCTTCATCTCAAATTATGCCATTGCTTTCCTTGAAAACTTCTCTGTGTTAAACCCAATCTACTGAAGTGTACGAAAACTTGTACTTCAATTAAATAAAAACATTAATAGATCAAATATAAACCACACCTTACTTGTTACTCTGGATTTTGCTTAGTATTAATACATGCTAATACAATAAAAGGTCTAAACTATCTTAATGAGGATCCATGAATGATAGCTTAGAACCTCTTATTCCAAAATCTACTTTTGCTTGACTCATACAGTCTCACTCCCCATCCCACCAATAAAAATATGCCTGGGAATATTCATGAGCAGATGCTATGAAAGCTGAGTGATGGTCTTCTTTTGGTCAGAAATTAGGTACAAATTATGTGGCTGTGTAAGGAGAAAGAAGAAAACAAATAGAAAAAGCAGAAAAGCCATAGCTACAGGAAGCCTTGCAGATATTATAGCTATTTGAGTGTTCCATTGTCATAAGACCCAAAGCATAGTTTTAGAACTAGAAGACATCTATGAGGTCCTGTTCATGCCATCAGTTTATAGGAAAATGGGCTTTAGGAAGGTTTGTGACTTGCTCAAGGTCACGTATATGGTTGGCAGTAGAGCTAGACTAGAAATAGAATCTGGATCTTTTGGTTCCAAGTTTTCTTTCAACTATACCACAAAACATATCAGTTCTTGAAATTATCAAAATATAAACCATTTGAATGAAAAACTTTCTAAACTAATGTTAGAAAGGGGGTCTAAATGTTTGTGTCCTCCCAAAATTCATATGTTGAAAACTAATCCTCATGGTGATGGTATTATGAGGTGGGGGATGCTGATTAGATCAAAGGGGTGAACCCCTCGTGAATGGAATTAGTGCCCTTATAAAAGAGGCCCCAGATAAATCTCTCAGCCCTCCTGCCATGTAAGGTTACAGTGAAAAGACAACCATCTATGAGGAACCAGGCCCTTATAGACACCATATCTGCTGGTGCCTTGACCTTGGACCTCACAGCCTACAGAACTGTGAGAAATAAAGTTCTGTAGTTTATCAGCCACCCAGTCTATGGTATTTTGTTAAAGCAGGGTGTATTAGTCCATTTTCATACTGCTATGAAGAAATACCCAAGACTGGGTAATTATAAAGAAAAAGAGGTTTAATGGATTCACAGTTCCACATGGCTGAGGAGGCCTCACAATCATAGCAGAAGGTGAAAGAGGAGCAAAGGCATGTCTTACATGGTGGCATACGAGAAGAGCATGTGCAGGGGAACTTCCCTTTATAAAACCATCAGATCTTGTGTGATTTATTCACTACCACAAAAACAGCACAGGAAAAACCCACCCCCATGATTCAATTACCTCCCACCTGGTCCCTCCTATGACACATGGGGATTATGGGAGCTACAATTCAAGATGAGATTTGAGTGGGGACACAGCCAAACCATATCACAGGCTGACTGGATTAATACACTGGTTTACATAATTCCTGCTTTTATATACAGAATATAAAAAACATTATTGAACCTTTTCTCTGTGAATCAAGTCACTATTGTGAAGTTCAACAATGTGAACTCACAGTCTGTGAATGCTAATGTGACTTTGAGTGTAGTGCAATGTCAGGAATCTGCTAAGTGCTTTTTATGGATTTACTCTTTGCTCTCACTACTTACTGTTTTCAGTGATGCTGCTCCAAGTATCATCCCCTTCCCCACCTTCTCATTTCAATTCTAAACTCTTATGTTTTCTGAAGTCTATCCTCTAGAGTAATATAAAATGCAGACAAATGAATCCCATATTTCTTGCAGCATTATTCATAAGAGCAAAACAAAAATGAAAATGTCCAACATAAGAGAATATTTAGTGAGTGGTACTTTCAAATAGAATATGATGTAGCCATTAAAATTATCTTCACATGAAGAGGCTTTAATGAAATAAGGAAGTGCTTATGTAATAATGTTAAATGCAAAAAGCAGGATATAAAATCACAATAAAACTACCAGATATCAACTACATTTTTAAAATGCTTAGAGTGAGGAAAATATACCAAAGTGTTTACAATAGTAAGATTACTGACAATTATTATTCTCATATTATACTGTTCTACATATTTCTGTTCATTTCTGCAATTAAAGTATAACATTTTAAGTCAGATAATTTTATAAAAGGAAATACCACATTGGAAAATATAACCTAATGAGTCAGAACTATATAAAATAAAAATATATAGATTCTAGGTGAGAACTGAAAGCCTCTGTTGTATGGACTTGTCCACAGTTCTGTGACACGGTAGGGTTGCACACACATGGTTTTTGCTCACTTCCCATTTCTTTGCTGAATTCCAGGTTGCTAGATAGCTGAATTCATGGATAGGCAAGGCATTAAGGTATATATGTATTAAAGGGGAAGAGAGAGAGAAAGAGAAAAAGGAGAGGGTGAAAAAATTCTGAGGCAATGATTTTAGAAAAATGTCTAAGTGTTTTTTTCATTAATTGTTTTTTTATTAATAGAAGTTTAGACGCTACAAATAGCAGTAATTGTCATTAAGTCACTCAGGCTGATTTATCAGTGAAGGAGCATTAAAGACAAATTAACCTCTCTAGAGACCAAGATATCTTCTAACTAATAATTAACTACCTCCTAAAACTGGGAGAGCTGAATCAAGAATGTGAGGAAGTCAAAACTAAGATAGAATAGAAAGAAGCTAAACAGTTGAAGCAAATGAGCATGTTAGTGCAGATGCTCCTCGACTTAGAATGAGATTACATCCTGATAAACCCACTGTAAATTGAAAATATCCTAAGGTGAAAATTCATTTAATACACCTAACCTACTGAACATCATAGCTTAGTTTAGCCTAACTTATATATGCTCGGAACACTTACATTAGCCTGTAGTTGGACAAAGTCATCTAACACAAAGTCTATTTTATAATAAAGGGAATAAAGTGTTGAATCTCATGTAATTTAGTGAATACTATACTGAAAATGAAAAACAGAATGGGTGTATGTGAAGTACAGATTTTACTGAATGTGTATCACTTTTGCACCATCATAAAGTCAAAAAGTACTAAATTAAACCATCTGAAGTCAGGAAGCTTCTGTGTAGGATGGTTACATCTGCACATATTGGATACTACTAGCAATTTTCTTTTTTCTTTTTTTTTTTGAGATGGAGGCTCTGTCGCCCAGGCTTGAGTGCAGTGGCGCGATCTCGGCTCACTGCAAGCTCCGCCTCCTGGGTTCACGCCATTCTCCTGCCTCAGCCTCCCGAGTAGCTGGGACTACAGGCGCCCACCACCACGCCCGGCTAATTTTTTGTATTTTTAGTAGAGATGGGGTTTCACCATGTTAGCCAGTATGGTCTCCATCTCCTGACCTCATGATCCGCCCACCTCGGCCTCCCAAAGTGCTGGGATTACAGGCGTGAGCCGCTGCAACCAGCCTACTACTACCAATTTTCTATCCTAATTCTTTTGTATTATTATATTTTTCTGCTAAATAGTAATGTTTTTTCTTATTTTATCCTCTTTCTTTGATTGAAATAATTAACGTATGGGTTATGGAGGAGGAGGTAGTAACTTTTGGTTTTGCAACACACAGCAACACTCATTCACTCATGCATACACATAGCCTACCCTCCCACATCCACTGTCCTGCATCACCTCATGCAGAGATGAGCAAAGGCAAACTGAGCTCAGAGCGGGTGTTTTATCAAATAGATGTTGCTAGACTTTTCAAAGCTGCTGAAGATCACTTTAAAAACTTCCCCTCTGCCTTCCCAAACACTGTATGCCACGAAAAGACTAAGTTAGAATACGGCTGACCCTTAAACAACAGAGGTTTAACTGCATGGGTCCATTTATATGTGCACTTTCTTCTGTCTCTGACACCCCTGAGACAGCAAGACCAGCTCCTCCTCTCCTCTTCAGCAGTCTGTTCAGCCTACTCAAAGTAAAGACAATGAGGATGAAGACCTTTATGATGGTCCACTTCCATTTAATACAGTAAATATATTTTTTCTTTTTTATGATTTTCATAAATTTTTTTCTCTAGCTTAGTCTTAAGAATACAGTATAAATACACATAACATACAAAATATGTGTTGATTGACTGTTTATGTAATCAGTAAGGCTTCTGGTCAACAATAGGCTATTAGTAGTTAAGATTTTTGGGGAATCAAACGTTTTATGCTAATTTTAGACTGCACAGAGAGTTGGCATCCCTAACCCCCATGTTGTGCAAGGGTCAGCTGTACTTTACACTGGTTTAAGGGATAGACAAGGTCCAAATCTGTTCTCATTCATCACTAGTGGCATTAACTAGCATTTGCAATATGATCTCTAAGGACTTCCCCAAACATGATAATATTTTATTATTATCATGTGAGATTATATTAGCCCAATTTTACAGATGAAGAAACATAGGTTCTAAGAGGTTAATTTGCTGAAGATCACACCAGTATTAACCTGGTGGAAGGCCTAGACCTTAGATCCTCTAACTCTCAATCTTGTGTTTATTTCTACTGTTTCATGCTACAGGGCTTATTGACAGATTAATTCTATGCCAAACTATTTGCCCCTAAAAGCCATGTGCAAGCCTACCTCTGAGGATCTGTTGCTGCTCAACAACAGTGCAGGAGAGTGGAAAATTATGTCTGAAGCAGGAAAAAATTGAGTGGTGGGTGATTGCAGCTAATGTTCATGCTCACCTTGATGTCTACTTGTGCCCCTTCATCCACTAGAATGCATCCCCCTTCTCTTCACAAATACATGCCCACCATTTGTCCTTCAAGGTTTAAAATAATGCCCCCTCTACAGAATTTCATGGAAAATTTCAGCCATTTCCACTATTTCTTGGCTCCACATTTCATCTTAACTTTAATAACGCGAAGATATTACAGGGTGTATTTAGTCCCAAATTCCTCAGAAATTTTTCTCTAAAGCTCATACATGTATGTTTTAGTCCTCCAGCAAGACTTTCTGCAAGATCTATTTTCTACATCTCAGATTCCTTTTCATGTTTTCACTGCTTTTCTCTTTCCTTCAACAACCTAGTATATTGCCGTGCATTCAACAATTGCTTACTGAGCAAATGAGAACCTGCATTAGTGTAGTAAAAGCATAGCTTGATTAGTAATTAGGAAGTTGGCGTCCCAGTTTTACAAGTAAGTAACTGCATTATTTCAGGCAAGTCTATGAGTTTGTTTTCTCACCATAAAATGGTCACAGGGGCAAGAAGTGGGCGGACTATATGAGTTCTATGATCTATAAGATGCTATGAATATTTAAATATTATTTTGGTTGGGACTGATCAAAACCTAACTTTATTCCATTAAGGATGAGAGAAGAGATGAATAAGAATTCCAATGAGAAGAATATTGAAAGTAACAAAAATGCTAGGCAGAAGAAAGCCAATGTGTCTGGAAAACAAAAAAAAAAGCAAAGAAGAATAAGAGAAAGCAGAGATGTCCTGGGCAAAACTGGAAATACAGATCCTGCTTGAGAGGGAGGTGAAGGGGTTAGAGGGTGGAATATACATGGGGGCAGCTTAGTAACTAGAAATATTGTTTAAGTGGTTAGGTGAATGTAGTATAATGTTTTGTTTTGTTTATTTGCTCTTCTGTTTGCTATTTGAACTTGAAATCAAATGGTAAGAAAGTATCGAGCATGCATAGATTCTGATGAAGAAAATAAGATGCATGCTAAAAAATACTTGTAAAAATAGAAGCAGAAGTTCTTGGCATTAATATAAGAATTAATACCATTAACATTTGACCATTAGAAACCTTTTTTCCTGTACTTTTTCTCCAATTTTTTTGAGAGGGGGAGGTGGAGAGGTATAGCAATTTTAATCAGGGTATTTCTGCTGCTTAAGTTTAATTTTATTAAAGATTTTCATAATTCCAAGTAATACTACACTAATTTCATTAAAATTGGGTCTTAGCTGACAGACCATATAATAGATTAAAATAATGTTATAAGGAGTTCTGTCCATGACTTCATTAATAAGCTCCCTTGGATGGGAAGAACCTATGGCAGGCAGTGAGATGAAGTCTCTGATGTGGTAGTGTCTGAGTTGCTAAGGAAAAGAAAGCAATGATTAGCTTAACAGTTTGAGAAAAAAAAATACCTCTTTAGAAAAGAAAATATCTAATATTAACACAAATATTTGAATCGAATAACATTTCTTGGATTCTCGGATGTAAAAGTTTTCAGTTGCTATCCAAAGTTGAAATAACACTTTAGGAGTACCCAGTTAATAAAAGGCCAAAAAAATCCCAATAAAAAACAGCAAAATTTTAAAGGCATTTGATATTTAAGATCCATTTTTAGGAATCTTCTGACCATCTTGAGACTAAAACTGCAGAGAAGAAACTTACTATTAGTCCATGTTACATAACTTTGAATCTAGTTTGCCCTTAACCTTTTACCAAGTTTAATCAAGGTTTATAATGAATTTTTTTTGCAAGGAAAAAAAATGTGTGTTTTAAAAACAAACATACCTGCTTCATCATAGGATACAGTCAATTTTTCTAGCATTTCTCGGTCAATTGACAAAATCTGCTGTTCAAGGATGGTCTGGTAAGATAATACACTATTTTCTTTGTCTTTCTCGTAGTCCTGAAGATGCTGTTTAAGGGCCTCTGGGAGTCGAGATTTTACATATTCAGCTGCAGTCTGCAGATAAAACAGTCAGAGAGAGAGAACTCCATTAGAAATTCTCCCCTTAGACTTTTTACTTACCCTCAGGTGCTATAGAGAAAGCTCAAAGCACTGTGAAACCAACCCTCCAGACAAGCATGTCCTTGTCATCGTCATTTTTAGTATCCACTGGACCCAGTAAGGTGATCTTCAAATAGAATCACAGACCTCTAAGAGTTTTCTACTAGGTTTAAAGGTATAAAAGATGATAGACTTGGTTAGATATTCGCAGATTTAGTGCTCAGAGTTTCAACTATTATAGTGAACTGAAGGCCCCTGACAGTGATTTTGCTGGATACAAATTTGACTTGCCCTTGTCTACAATGCAGAAGACAGTCACTCATCTCAGCAATGACCCCATCCATGCTACGGCATCCACATCCCTACTTTGTTTTATTAGTCTCTACTCATTAATGTTTACATAAGAACTCTTGTAAAGTGAATTTTATAAAGGAGAGTCCTCTGCTAGGGCTGATAATGAAATAATGGGATAAACAGAAAATGAGGAGATTTAAGACAATGCCCCTTAACCTGGGGCAAAACAAACAAACAAACAAACAAACAAACAAAACCAAACCTCTTCACCACTTAAATGCCTTAAAGCTTACATATATATAATTCTTACTTTGACAAGTTTGTTGTTGTTGTTGTTGCTGTTTGTTTTTTGTTTTTACACTATCTGTACAACACACTCCCAAATAGTTACATTCCAATTAGTAACAACTAATTACATGCAGTGATTTTCAATCAGGTAAGCACGTTCCACATGGGGGTAGGAAGGAAGATATGCATATTTTGAAAAGATTTTCCCAAAGATTCTGATATGTTCTTCTGGTAGGCTGCAGTGGTAGCATACTCTTTTCTCTCCAAGTTGAGAATCCCATTGCTAGTTAAGCAGAATTTTATGAGCATAATTAAGTGACAGAGAGGCATGCATAAATCAGGGGAATTCTGAAATTTATAAAACTTCTCTCTCAGGAATGTCAAAAGTTTAGCATCTCCTTGCAGTGCAGTCCTGCTTTACTCACATAGTGTCTAAGGTTAATAAATCAATCAATGAAGTCCACCATATATTGTTCAAAATTATATTCATAACCAGTATAAAACTTCACACACACACACACACACACACACACACACACACACACACACAAAACTGCTAAAAAACGAACAAACAAACAAACAAAAAGATGGTATCTGGGGCAATCTTTGCTTAGAATAAGGCAAAGACACATCTACATAGAAAAAAGAAAAACCCATAGTGTTCTGTTGCACAGTAGGGTGACTATGGTTATCAGTAAGGTGTCGTATATTACAAAATAGCTAGAATAAAGGTTTTTGAATGTTCCCAACATAACTAAATTATAAATGAATGAGGTAAGGGATATGCTAACTACCTTGATTTGAACACTATATAAGATATACATGTATTGAAACATCAAACTGTACCTCATAAATATGTAAAGTTACAATGTATCAGTTTTTAAAATTCTGTACAGCTATTAATTGTACAACTTAAAATAAGTATGCATTAAACATACATACTGATATATATATATATATGATACACGCTAATCAACAGAGGTTCAGTTTTTTTCATTTATAGAGTAGTATCCTCTATAGCCTTTGGAAAAAATGAGATAGGACTATATGTACTGACCAGGAAGAATACCATAATATATTGTTGAGGTTAAAAATCAAAGTCACAGAATATCAGGTACAGTATATCCTACAACATATATATACATATATATGAGCATAATTAAGCAACACATATATATATAGTGTATTTAGCATTATCATATAGGCATAGGAGAAGGTATGAAAGAATATACTCCAACTGTGGAAGACACTTTATTTTTTTATTTTTATTTTTTTGAGACTGAGTTTCACTCTTGTTGCCCAGGCTGGAGTGCAATGGCATGATCTCGGCTCACTGCAACCTCCACCTCCTGGGTTCAAACGATTCTCCTGCCTCAGCCTCCTGAGTAGCTAGGACTACAAGTGCCTGCCACCATGCCCGGCTAATTTTTTTTGTATTATTAGTAGAGACGGGGTTTTACCATGTTGGCCAGGCTGGTCTTGAACTCCTGACCTCAGGTGATGCACCCGCCTCAGCCTCCGAAAAAGCTGAGATTACAGGCGTGAGCAACCACGCACAGACAATACTTTCTACATTCCACATTTTTGTATTGTTTCCATGTTCTTACTATTGTAATTTTTTAAAATTGTCTTTAAAGTGTATTTGGTTTTTAAAAATTTTATTTCAGTAGTTTTTGGGGAACAGGTGGTTTTTGGTTATATAAGTAAGTTCTTTAGTGGTGATTTCTGAGATTTTGGTGCACCCATCACTGGAGCAGTGTACACTGTACCCAATATTTAGTCTTTTATCCCTCATCCCCTTCCCACCCTCCCCCTTATGTCCCCAAAGTCCATTATATCATTCTTATGCCTTTGCATCCTCATAGCTTAGCTCTCGCTTATAAGTGAGAATTTATGATATTTGGTTTTCCATTTCTGAGTTACTTCACATAGAACAACGGTCTCCAACGCCATCTAAATTGCTGCAAATGCCATTATTTCATTCTGTTTTATGGCTGAGTAGCATACCATGGTGTATATACAACACATTTTCTTTATCCACTTGTTGGTTGGTGGGCATTTAGGTTGGTTCCACATTTTTGCAATTGTGAATTGTGCTGCTATACACATGCACATGCACGTGTCTTTTTTATATAATAACTTATTTTCCTTTGGGTAGATACCCTAAAATGGATTTCTTTATAACCTTCATGATTTTCTCTTTAAATGATAACAAAATTTAGGATGAAAAGAAACTTGCCAGAACAATGACAACTGACTTCCCAGGAAAAGTCCACTGGGAAGTGGTGGTGAAAAGTTATATTTTATCCCCTAGAGTAGCCAAAGGTAACACAACACGTTTTAGTTCCAGATTTATATTTATATTTCCTAACTCTGTTGCTGACAAAATTACAACTTTAACATCACCAAACATTGTTCAATTTCTCTGCCAGCCAGCTAGTGCAGAACAAATGAAATTATTCCATAAAATGTAAATGGACTCAGCACATTTGTGCAACATATATAATTGTAAAATTTAATAACATTTTTTCCCTGACACTGGAAAATGAAGAGACACACTGCACAATAACTGTTTTTAAACTCACACTACCTTGTTACTCAGTGTAATATCTGTCATTAATTTTTTTCCTTGAAATGCCTATGAGGTACAGGAAATAGTTCCATAATTCACATTTTACAAATATTGATGTACTCTATATTATTGAAAGCACACCATGGGATTCCTGGCTAGCCATATGCAGAAGATTGAAACTGGACCCCTTCCTTACACAATATACAAAAATTAACTCGAGATGGATTAAAGACTTTAATGTAAAACTCAAAACTATAAAAACCCTGGAAGATAACCTAGGCAACACCATTCAGGACATAGGCATGGCCAAAGATTTCATGCTGAAGACACCAAAAGCAATTGCAAAAAAAGCAAAAATTGACAAATAGGATCTAATTAATCTAAAGAGCTTCTGCACAGCAAAAGAAACCATCATCAGAGTAAACAGACAACCTACAGAACTGGAGAACATTTTTGAAAATTCTGCACCTGACAAAGGTCTAATATTCAACGTCTATAAGGAATTTAAACAAATTTACAAGAAAAAGACAACCCCATAAAAAAGTGGGCAAAGGACACGAACAGATACTTTTCAAAAGAACACATACATGCAGCCAACAATCATGAAAAAAAGCTCAACATCACTGATCATTAGAGAAATGCAAATTAAAACACAACGAGAGGCCGGCCGCAGTGGCTCACGCCTGTAATCCCAGCACTTTAGGAGGCTGAGGCGGGCGGATCACAAGGTCAGGAGATCAAGACCATCCTGGCTAACATGGTGAAACCCCGTCTCTACTAAAAATACAAAAAATTAGCCAGGCGTGGTGACGGGCACCTGTAGTCCCAGCTACTTGGGAGGCCGAGGCAGGAGAATGGGTGAACCTGGGAGGCGGAGCTTGCAGTGAGCCGCCATTGCACCACTGCACTCCAGCCTGGGCGACAGAGCGACACTCCGTCTCAAAAAAAAAAAAAAAAAAGTCAAATAATAACAGATGCTAGCAAGGTTGTGGAGGAAAAGGAAGACTTTTACACTGCTGGTGGGAGTGTAAATTAGTTCAGCCATTGTGGAAGACAGTGTGGTGATTCCTCAAAGACCTAAAGACAGAAATACCATTTGACTCAGCAATCCCATTACTGGGTATATACCCAAAGGAATAGAAATCATTTTATTATAAAGACACATGCTCGCATATGCTCATTGCAGCACAATTCACAATAGCAAAGACATGGAATCAACCTAAATGCCCATCAGTGATAAACTAGATTAAGAAAATGTAGTACACATTCACCATGGAATACTATGCAGCTATAAAAAAATGAGATCATGTCCCTTGCAGGCTTATGGATGCAGCTGGAGGCCATTATCCTTAGCAAAGTAACACAGGAACAGAAAACCAAATACTCTGGTCTCTTATTGGTTTTAGTCAATCCTTCATATCTTTCAAAGTCTGGCTCAAATGCCATGTATATACTGTTAGTATTGCCTAACCTAACTTGAACATCTAAGAGCATCCAACAGCTTTCCAATTATTTTGTATTTGTACAGGTATAGGTACTTTAGCTCCTCCAACTGGTGGAAATAAGGACTGTATCTTACACACTATTGTGTTCCCCCACATCTGGTTCAATGCTTTATACCATAGAAGCTCAATACTTTGACACTATGCAAAAATCAAGTACTTTCAGATAGCTTGGGAAAAAATGTTTTGACAGTTCCTAATTCTTTCTTGCATACAGATCTTCCTTTCACAATTTCAGATAGAGAATAAAAGTCTGGTTTTCTACTGGCAAATGGAACTATTCTTGGTCTTTAATTTTCTTTCATGCCATTATTTCAGAAAAGTAAACAGCTCAAACCCAATCATAATTCACACGCCAAAATGGCAAATTATGTGTTTCACACTTAAAGCTGTATGAGGCTTTATTTAATGCTTTCCTCTCCATAATCATTTGATCTTCTCCATTCTTGCCTTTATTTCTGCATTTGGCAATGGGGTTGACTGATTCTTCTAGGGACCCTTTGAGGAATCACGTGCAATGTACATCAGAGCTGTACACCTGAATTAAAGGTTGCCTTGCAGGATGTTAATTACACCTGGACTTTCAGCTCTATGTTTAGCCAGACATATCCTAAATGGCTGAAGAGAAATCTTAGGGAAGAAAGTGCAAAAAAGTTCACAGGTTCCCTCCAGTTAGACCTGAAAAGATGATGACTTCGGCAACAGCTAGAGTAAAAATATGAGCTAAAAACTTACAAGGCAGGGCATAAAAGGTGCTGAATGTGCCTTTTTACAGAATTTACATATATTTATATTACCCATTCTAGCGTTAGTCTGGAAGACATTAAAGGGTTACAGTAAACTCCATAAAAAGAACTCAGTGGGTAAGAAGGATAAATGAAAAGAAGCAGAATGATTAAGAACCTAAATTCTGGAAATGTAGGTAGAATGCTGATGCTGGTCATTAGGCTAAAATACTATTTACTATTATATGGTATATTCTTTAAGAACTAATACATATTAAAGAATTCAGGTGGGGTGGTGCAAAAGTATATTTCAAGAGCTGCTAAATGTTTCACAATTCATCTTAAAAAGAAAACTCGGCCCAGCGTGGTGGCTCACGCCTGTAATCCCAGCACTTTGGGAGGCTGAGGCGGGCGGATCATGAGGTCAGGAGATGGAGACCATCCTGGCTAACACGGTGAAACCCCGTCTCTATTAAAAATACAAAAAAAAAATTATCCGGACGTGGTGGCGGGCACCTGTAGTCCCAGCTACTCGGGAGGCTGAGGCAGGAGAATGGCGTGAACCCAGGAGGCGGAGCTTGCAGTGAGCCGAAATTGCACCACTGCACTCCAACCTGGGCGACAGAGCGAGACTGTCTCAAAAAAAAAAAAAAAAGAAAACTTGTTAGCCAGCCAATTCTAATTTATTGACTGTCTGCTGAGTAATACATATTAGGCTTGAACTGTTGGGAAAACAAGCCTTTACCATAAAGGAAACTGCAATTTTAATATGCAAACAAAACACACATGAAATACTAGAAAAACACATTTTACAAAGTAATGCAAAAATACGCATGAATCCCGAGATAAATTAATATATTTATTTAATGCATGAGTTATGTTAGGTGCTAAACAGCCTTTAGGGAGAGAAATTAAGATAGGAGGGAACACAGAAAAATAATCAGGAAATAATTCTGGTAGAATTTAAAGACCAATTTTAAAAAATAATTTAAAAAAGAAGGCTGGGCACCGTAGCTCACACCTGTAATCACAGCACTTTGGGAGGCCGAGGCAGGCAGTAATCACGAGGTCAAGAGATCGAGACTATCCTGGCCAACATGGTGAAACCCTGTCTCTACTAAAAATACAAAAATTAGCTGGGCATGGTGGTGCATGCCTGTAGTCCCAGCTACTCGGGAGGCTAAAGCAGGAGAATCGCTTGAACCCGGAAGGCAGAGGTTGCAGTGAGCAGAGATCGCACCATTGCACTCCAGCCTGATGACAGAGTGATACTCTGTCAAAAAAAGAAGAAAGAGAGAAAGAAAGAGAGAGGGAGGGAGGGAAAGGAAAGGAAAGGAAAGGAAAGGAAAGGAAGGAAGGAAGGAAGGAAGGAAGGAAGGAAGGAAAGAAGGAAGGAAGGAAGGAAGGAAGGAAGAAAGAAAGGGAAAACAAAAACCTAGGAAATATTCTTCTAGCATTGGCCTAGACAAAGAATTGATTAAGAAGACCCTAAGGGCAAAAGCAACAATATAGACAAATGGGACTTAATTAAACTACAGAGTTTCCACACAGCAAAAGAAACTATCAACAGAATAAGCAATTAAAAATTGTGTTATAAAAGAGTACTAAATTATGTAGGAAAATATTCATAATAAAAAGCAGATTAAGTCCGGACACAGTGGCTCACTCCCGTAATCCTAGGATTTTGGGAGGCTGAGGTGGGCGGATCATTTGAGCTGAGGAGATCAAGACCAGCCTGGGCAACATGGCAAGACCCTGTCTCTACTAAAAATACAAAAAAACAGCCAGGCGTGATGGCACGCACCTGTGGTCCCAGCTACTCAGGAGGCTGAGGTGGGTGGACTGCTTGAGCCCCGGGAGGTGGAGGTTGCAGTGAGCTGAGATGCCGCCATTGCACTCCAGCCTGAGTGACAGGGTGAGACATTTTCAAAAACAAGGAGATTACAAAGTAGTTTGTATACCTCATGTGTGAGGAAAAAAAAAAGGGTGAATTAAATTAATGTATATCATTAGTTATGTCAGAGTAATATAAATTGGGGTGATTTTTATTTTTTCTCTCTAAAGTTTTCCAAATTCTATAAAATAAAACAATATTTCTATGTGCCAGCACTGTGCTGAATGCTTTAAATGTGTTAGCGTATGTAATCCTTACAACAACCCTAACAGATTTTTACAGATGAAGAAACAGACTCAGAGAGGTTAAGAAACTTATCCTCGGTTATACAGTGAGTATGGGAGCAGGAAACACAAATTGCTTTTAAATTAGAAAAAAAAATTAATTTTTTACAAAGATGGCAATGCGTACTGTGGTCACTTCTTTACAAGGTAAAGCAGCCCCAGGCTGGCATAAAACCCAGAATAGAACAAAAGAACACATGAGCAAAGCTTCCCAACAGATGGGAAAGAAAAACATGCCTTCAATGCTGCGTAATTGGAAGCTAAAGCTGAGGGCAAAGCTGTTAAAAGCAATGGGAAAACTGAATAAAGTTACACAACATATTAAATTTACTCTTGAAAATTTAACAGTAAGCCTGAAAACTATTCATCTCTCCATATTTTAGGGAATATCCACCACCATCACGATGACCCCTCCAAAATCTCTGTGAGGAAAAGGTATTAAACTTATTTGCAAGTTTCCAGGGAGCCAAAAAAGCTTCTCTTCAAGAAGAGATAATAAGTGATGTAATTAAATTCTAATAGAACCGCCATTAGAAAAAGATCACAAGTAAACTAGACCTATGTTTCAAATCACTTTTAGTATATTTCTCTGGGAAAAAAAGTGTCAAGGTCAATTTCCTTTACTCATTTTGTTACGTTACTCATTTTGACCTTTAGTGGACTTAAAATAAAAACAGGCTTCTGATGTCCTTAACTATGAAAATATGCCTCATCACATAATAATTTTTACTTAATAATTCATATGTCATGGTTGTGTGAGTTTTTCATTTTTGTTCCTTCACTTTTTAACAAATAATCTATTTTATTACCAATTCTAAGACTTAGTGAATAGTAAGCAATTTTATGAAGTTTTAGGTAATGATAATCAAAAAGAAAGTGCCTCTATACTCAATAAATTCTTATTTAGAAGATATTTTTTAAACCAAGAAATGGATTTATCATTAACTTTGTAATGAAGTATGTTGTAAATGTTGGTCCTGATATAGAGACCCAATTTCCAAGTAACTGAAAAACCAAGAGTTGAGATTTTAAGATTTCAAAACCTCAGACATGCATCTTAAGAAGAAAAGGGATTTTTGCCTTATGGATGGTCTACAGAGTGCTTTGCCAAGATAAAAAGTTTAAGAATTTTAATACCCCTCAAATTTCACAATTTTATAAATTACCTTTCCCCCTCCATTTTATTTAATACACATGAACACACACAATTATAATCTGAAAAGAGAGAGAAACCCTCAAGCTCCATTAAACTGAATGGGACAAATAATTGATGGTACTGCCTTTCAATTTATGTTTACACCACATATATGCCTAAAAAACACACAGGGCTTCTGCTTCAGTTATGTGTGTTGACTGTGAATGGACACAGCCTTCTAAAGCTGGAAAAAAAGGGACAAAAGCAAAAGGGCTGATCTTTGCACTCATGTCAACAGTAAATTTAACACTGATAAATTTTAAAACACTGATAAATCATTAAATAAGATGCTAGATCTGGCTTTAAGGACATCTGATCAGTGGCCCTCTCCTGTGAGGAGACTTTGGCACTGAGGAAGACATACAAGGGAAGTAAGATGAGAATCAATTCTGCAAATACTGAGTAGAAAAAGGGCTGAATTTAGGGAAATGGTCACCGAGGGATGATCACAAGGTATTCACAAGATACAGGAGAGATTATCATGGGAATCCTTCGAAATTCACACCAGAGCAAGAAAGAAGAGAGAAGGGAGTAATATTTTATTGCAGGCAAGGTTTCCCTGCCCTTGAAAAGAAGGGGATGTGTGTTTGCTGATCTGGCAGCAGCCAGCACACAGACCACACGTTAATTTACTTAGTTTCACCTTGGAATCCATCTTTCTTACGGTAACATATCATTAACTTTTGACAGCTGCTCTTTGGCTCCAGGCACTTTAAAATAAAGTCAGAGTGAGTGCCCTTGCCCACCAGGAAGAGAACATAAGGCAAGGGAGTTATTCTTCTCTCATGCCTGCCAAGAGTGTCATTTCTTGCCATTTTTAGTCTTTGGCACTTCTAACCTGGAGAGGTTATTCAAATAAGAAAAGTGTCTTTGAGATGACCGTCTTGCACTCCTGAATTCATAATTCTGCCTCAAGAAGGCAAATGTGATTCCTTCAAGAGAGATGGCATCAGGAAAAAGTCCCAGGCTTAAACCAGAAGCATAAAAATGAAATCTTACACCTATTACAGAGATTTAAGATTGCTCTGGAGAGCCAAAGCTGCAGACGTGCAAATGCTAGTCATGTGGTAAAGCGACTACCACAGAGGGCATAACACTCAGTGTGTGAAAGACTTGAAATCATCTAAACGGCTGAATATGAAGACTAAAGTTCCCATTTAAGCATTAAAGTGATGGACTACTAAGTTACAGATTATCCCAGACAATTCCTTTGGAATTCCTAATGTGACGAACCTCAAATAACTTTATCAGTCATCTAATTCATATTCAATCTGACACTATATTCATGTGGTAGCACCAAGCATGCCAGAGTGTGAAAATATCACTCAAATCCCACTTTCTGTATGATGGCTTCCCTAATTGCAGATGGATGTTTTTGTACATAAAAAATAACTTACCTCTCTTTTCTAGATCTTACCCTGTAATTGCAATAAAATATAATTTTGCCAAATTATCAAACATTGTTCAGCTATGTGGCCCATTTTCCTTATCTTATTATTTCGATCAAAACCTACCCTCAAACTCTAAAGGATTAAAAAATGTATCTGCTTTACAGTCTAACAAAAAGTTGACCTTACTTCCCTACTGCCACAGTGATGATGAATTCTTTGCCCCTCAATATTACACATATTCCAGGGATAGGTTAAGGGATTCAGGGGGAATAGTTTGTACTAGTTTCATGATGTTTTTGTTTTAAAGCACAAATACACATCTATGTTCCCCTGAGGGATGGCAACATAAAAACAGCCTAATGTCGGACTTTCTCATCAATCTGTTGAGAAAACAAGCGGCACTCAGCCAAAGCAATCTGGCTAAATTTTGTTATGAGTGAGTTCCTGTCTTTTCTGCAGTTACAGAAAGAAGATGTTTCACATTCTATGCACTTGAGATCCATAGAAGAAAAATGAAAAGTAATATTTGTTTACAGAGAGAACTATGTTTCATAAATCAGAGAAAATTATGGTTAATTACTGATAAAATTCCCTTCCCTTTCTGAATCTTGGGCTATAGAGCTTGGAGAAATATTAACTTCCATTAGTGCTATCCAAATGTATTCCAGAAAGTTCCCTGTGGAATGCTAACTGAAAATGCCCTTGGGAATTCAGGAAGCCAGTGGAACTGGTAGAAGTGAACTCTAAAACACTCATGAGTTATTAATCAAAAAGAACTCTGAAGCTATGACAGTAGAGCAGCTGCTTAGAAGGTAGCCAAAACATGGTCAGATAAAACTGTTCTTTGGCCGGCAACCACTATTTATATAGGAGTAGCACCAGAGATCTCCTACTGGGCCTTATTTGGCTTCTGCCCTGCAGCTACCTACAAGGCTCTTTAGAGTGGACCTCCAGGAGGCAGGTGTGGCCAGGGTGGCAGGGAAGCTCCAGACGAATGCCAGTTGGGCTTCTGTCTCCCATCTGACATGACTTTAAGAAGTGCCTTCAAAACCTGTATTAGATTAAGGCTCCTTGTATGTGTAGTTGGGGTATGGAGAAGGCCTGGTCTTTCTGTCCTGAGAGCTGGTAACTGCCTTATTTAGCGTGATGTGAGTAACCCCAAAAGGATCCCCATCCCCAAATCGTTTTCCCTTTTTTGACGCCTGAAATTCTATCATTATAGCTTCAATCTTCGGTTAATGCCAGCTCTTCACCTACCAAAAGGTAAATATTTTAAGGAGGGGTAGTATGCTAAGTAAATATTCAGTCTTAGTGTGAGCAAGTTGATCAGATTTTTACCTACAAGGAGGTGGATTGACAAGCAATAAGGCACCCAAGGAGACTCCTGGGAATGGAGTGTAAAGTATGAAAGTGAAGATAAAGAAAGACAAATGTTCTCTACTCTGAAATTTAACTTTGTGTGGAGGAAAACACAAAGATCTGTGCTCCTTGAAGGTCTAAATTACTCTTCTCTCTCTGGCTCCCACTTCGAGACCTGCCATCAAAGCTTATTTGAGGCTAACCTAACGAAGCAAACTTAATTTGTTGTATCTCACATATGGGTAAATAAAGAACAAATTCAGTAGCATCTACTGCATACATATAGTTTTAAAACTTCTGTACAAATAGGAATCATCACCTTGGTTGCAAAAGTAGTCTCTCAGAATTAAAGCAATTGCTTTCCCACTTGTCACCACAATGTACTATGTTCAGATCTCCGTTACAGCTCTCAACCACTTCAAAGTGTCTCTATCTAGTCACCTATTTGCCTTCCCACTAGTTTATGAGCAACTAGCAGGTAGGACAGAAGCTTTTTCATCTATGTGGGTCTCCCTGACACTTAGTCCAATGTAGGCACGATGGCAGAAAAGGATGGGGAATGGGTGCTTTAAAACCAGGCTTAATGTCCTATGAGTGAGAACTCTACATGACCACAAAGAAAGATAAAAGGGACCGTGCCCACAATGTTTCTTCCTATCACTCTGACATTTGCCTCTCTTCTGCCATAAATCATATAAATGTCAGACTATTTTATACTTGCCGAGCATCACACCTTATTTTATACCACAGGAACCCACTTGCAAGGACTGCTGGTTTGGACAGAGCCACAGCCTGTTGTATCTCATGATAAAAATGTATTTTCAAATATTTTTGTATTATTTTCAACCCGACTAAAAAATCTCTGAGAGCAACAAATCCTTTTCCCAGAAATACACACACAGTATCTAATGTCTTATTTTAGGAATCCAGGTATAAAGCTCATAAACAGGGTCATGGTGAAGCCTTATTAGCTCCATACAGGGGAAGGGCACTAGGACAGGGCTTCGGTTTTTTCTACAAAATTCGGTCACTGGGCTTCATCAGTGTTTCTTCATGGCTGGTATTCCAACCAACTGCTTCTAAGTCACCTAGGGTGGAAAGAGGGGATTGCCTTCTTTAAAAACGCAGATTCATGGGGCCTGCTCCATATTTAGTAAATCAACTTTTTTTAGGGTAGGACTCTAGAATCTACTTTTTAAATGTTTGCCGTATTTTAACAGGCTCACTAACAGGTGAAAAACACCAGATTCTACCCCCTAGAGATTCTGATTTTCTAAGGTCTAGACATGTGTATTTTTACAAAGCTTTGTAACAAATTCTGATGTACATCTAGGGTTGTACAAGACCCTCCACAAGAAGAGTCCCCCAAGACAGAGTTTGGCAAGTAAACATTTTTAATTCCTGGGAAAACCTTGACTATATGCAATGACGTTCCTACATGGCCTTTCAACCCTCAGTGCCACAGCTTTTTTAAATCATACAAAATTGCTAGTCTGCTCAGCCTCAAGAAGGCTGAGCCCTTTCCTGAAGCAAACTAACTGACCTTGTGTACTTCTAATGCAAGGGAGCACCTGGAATCCTTTCCCAACAGCTTGTGGGCAATCAGGCAAATCTCAGCAAGCTGCGTAAAACAGGCCACAAAATGACCTGTGGCAAAGCACTGTGAAAACACAATGATTTCCTCTTGACCATCCCAGGCATGGTAAGAACACTGACCTGACCCCTCCTGCCGAGGACTGCAAGTGGGACTTTGAATCCTGGAAAGCTGCAGCAAAATATAGCAGAAGGGAAAGGAACTCAGCATCACCGGCAGTGTTGCATAACTATGCAAACAAGGTTTGAAAGGGTATCTTATTTTAGCAAGAGGAAAATGAGATACCTAATTGTGTGGAAAAGCTATAGTTTCAGCAGTGACTGCACCTGCTTGTGTAAATAGAAAATGACATATTTTAAAATTTGGATGGGCATACAGTTCATGAACCTTACAGAGAAAAATATATCTTTTTCCCAAGTCTGACTTCAACTCCATAAGAAAATAGCTGGACGGGCAGTCACAGTCATAAGCTAGAAGTATATCCTTTTAATTAATATTTATTGGATGTCGACTATGTGCTGGACACTGTGCTAGGTGCTAGAGATAAATGGTTATTTATATTAACATTACTGCTTCTATAAAGTAATAGATTAGTCCAATGTGATGTAAGGAGTTCAGTGGTGCGATTAGAATTTTGGGTGGTTAGGTGTTGAGCTTGAACGCTTTCTTAATTGATGGCTGCTTTTGGGCCAATTATGGAAATAATATTTTTTACTCTCTACATAAAGGTTGTTTCCTAGTGTCTAAAGAGCTGTCCGTCTTTAGACTAACAGTTAAATTTACAGGGGAATTAAGTGGTTCTGTAGGTAAATTTAAAGTTGAACTAAGATTCTATCTTGGACAACCAGCTATCACCAGGCTTGGAGGGCTTGTCACCACTACCCATGAATCTTCCCACTATTTTGCTACATAGACGGGTGTGCTCTTTTAGCTGTTCTTGGGGAGTGGGCAGAAGTAGACATGTCCCTGCTCTCATGGTGCTTATGGTCTAGTGGGGAGATAGAAATGAACAAGATTCTTTGATGAGATAAAACAAAGAACCTAAATAGCCTGGTTGGGGGTGAAGGAGGAATGGGGAGAAGAGGGTTTCCTGAGAGAGTGATGTAAAGCCAAGATCTAAAAAATGATGAGGAGGTTCACAGACAAAGGGATAAGGAGCAAGAAGAAGCTAACACAGACAGGAAAAACAGTATATTTTATTGATATGAATTTTCAAAAATGTGGATAAATTAGAGCCATGGGTGAATAGAAGTTGTATTTTACAGGAGAAAAGGCTTCAAAATTGCTCTGAGGTGCTAGATACCGGCCATTGGGACTGCTGAGGAACATTAAGGAAGGGAGAAATATCACTACATTTGCCCAGCTAAAACCAATACTAACTTTCTATTTGTTGTGGGGAAAAATTAGTTTCCGAATTTCTTTTCATTAAAATGGGTTTATGATGAAGAGTCTGAGTTAAGAACAAGGTTAGGCCTAATGAGCTCCTGACTTGCCAGTTAACACTTTGTGTATTTTTCACTCTTTCTCTTTCTTACTCATGCTGCTGCTTTAGTGTTGGCAACTCTCCTTTCACATTTCTCTCAAGTGTAGAATGTACACCATTTTGATTCTTTGCTATAGCATGTAGAATTGTAAAATATCTGGGTGTCTTATACCAGTCATTTTTTAAGTCAGAAAAGATATTATTTTATGAAGGGAACTGTGGGCTAAAATAGCATCAATTGATAAGCATCAACTAACTTCAAATCATTCATCTCAATTTGTAAAATTCTTGCCCCAAAACTCAGTGGAATAAAATTAAAATGAACTTTTAAGAATTGCATGGAAATTGCCCAGTATGACAAGAAAGTGGCACTTTCAAAGGCAAAGGAAAGAAGCCCAATGGTCTCCCCACTCCAAATCCCACCTTGTTATTTTCCTGTGTGGATACGTGGTCCTATTCCACACAGAAAGTTGCCCACAAACAGAGGAGTAGGAAAAAAAAATACTCAAATGTATAGAGTGGCCTAGTATTTCCCACAGGGAGGACTCAGTTCCACAAGATGAAATCTGGGTAATCAAGAGAGAGTTTTTACATCTTCAGGGGTTTTTCCACCTATCTGCAAGGAGGGCTGGAGAAATCAGAAGTAATGTGATTTACCCTTCTATGTGGGTTGGCGGAGCTCTCTGAAGGCATACATTTAACAGCTACCATGTATGCAGTATTTACTATGTACCAGGTACTGTGCTTGGTATTTTATATTAATTACTTCATTTAATTCTCACCAACCCTGCAAGGTAGGTATGATTATCAATGTTTTGTAGATGTGTCCTTGCAAACCCCCAGTAAGCCTTTGCTCTTTGGTAAAGTCTATGGTTTCATAAATATTTTATGTAGGCAAGTTTTAGGAACTCTGGGCTAAGAAAAGTAAGATGGTAAAATTGAGATGAAGCTAGGGATAAAGTTAGATGCAAAATATGTGCTTTACTATTCCTTTTACAGTTGACCCTTAAACAACATGGGGTTACATACATACAGTTGACCCTTAACTCCAACACAGTCAAAAACCCACAAATAACTTTTGATTCCCCCAAAATGTAACTACTAATAACCTATTGTTGAATGACAGCCTTACCAATAACATAAATAGTTGATTAATACATATTTTGTATGGTATATGTATTATCTATTGTATTCTTACAACAAAGTAAGCCAGAGAGAAGAAAATGTTATTAAGAAAATCATAAGGAAAACATATTTACTATTTATTAAGTGTAAGTGGATCATCATAAAGGTCTCATCCTCGTTATCTTCATGTTGAGTAGGCTGAGGAGGAGGAGAAAAAGGAGGAGTTGGTCTTGCTGTCTTAGGATTGACAGAGGCAGAAGAAAATCTGTGTGTACGTGGACCTGTGCAGTTCAAACCCAGGTTGTTCAAGGGTCAACTATATTTGTTACAGATGATTAAAAAGTAACTCTGAGTTTCTTGGCACCCAATGCAAAGAAATAAAGGCAACCATCTGCACAAGTCACAGTGTCCTCAAAATAAATTATAGGACAGATCAAAACAATGCCTATGGCAGCCATTAACTAATGAATTATTTACCACTGAACCTAGATTGACCCTGAGATTCCTTCTCAATACAGTATTCCAAGGCAGCCACCAATCAATCAAAGTTAGCACATGAGATGAGACCTCTTTATGAGCCTTGGTCTAAATTCAGGATGGCAAACTGAAGCCCAAACATCCGTCTTTATAAAGTTTTGCTGGAACATAGCTGTGCCCATTTGTTTATATATTGCCTATGGCTGCTTTTGCACTATAATGGTAGAGTTGAGCAGCTGAGACAGGGACTGGATGGTATGCAAAGCCTAAGATAGTTACCACATGGCTCTTTACAGAAAATGTGTGCCAAACACTGTTACAGATGGATGGCCAAACTAAAACAAAATCAGTGGAGATAGATAGATAGATAGATAGATAGATAGATAGATAGATAACATATATGTTATATATAACATGTTATATATAGTTATATATAACATGTTATATATAGTTATATATAATATATATGTTATATATAGTTATATATAATATATATGTTATATATAGTTATATATATGTTATATATAGTTATATATAATATATGTTATATAGTTATATATAGTTATATATAATATATATATCTCCACTATATATTATATATGTAACATCAGTTATATATAATATATATGTTATATATAACATTATATATAATATATGTTATATATAACATATATATGTTATATATAACATATATATGTTATATATGTTATATATAACATATATAATATAATATATAACATGTTATATATAACATATATATTATATAATATATAACATGTTATATATAACATATATATTATATATAAAATTAATTTTTTAGCTTGCATTTATTATGTGCCTTCATGTATGGGGCACTGTGTTAAATTTGAGGTGTACAAAAATAAGCTGCACATCATCGTCCTCACCTTGAAATAGCTCTGATTTAAAAATTCTAACACTCCAGATATTTTTCTTAGGCGTTTTCTTTCTTTCTGCTTGACCATATAACCTAAAAAGTTAGAGAGTCTTAGAAATTGTAGTCTTTTAGCAGTCCTCAGAGAAAATGGATGGGTAAAAATACACCCAGACATTATAAAGGGCAGCTGCTTTATTTAATGTAAGATTAAAAATAAAAATGTGATTAAGCATTATAAAAACAATGAGCAATTGGCAATACCTCATAAAAAACTAACTTAAGCAACTTTAGATTCTCAAAACTGTCATTTGTCAGGAACCACATAATAATGAGAAAATTAACAAGGCCCCAAAGAGACATGTAAAATTTGAATTAAGATTCACAGTAGGTTGGCAGGGACATACTAAATCCATAATTATGGTGATCCACAGCTGCTCCAACCTTAGAAAATAATGAACTGCTTAGTGAAGGCTGGTGTCTCTCAAACAGCAAGAAAAAAAAATCTGCTGTGGAACAGTGTCCTATCTTTATGTCCTATACCCAAATAGTCCATAAACAAGGATGATCCACGTGAAGATTTATGGTTGCAACAAGCAAGTTCCAGATGTCATAAAGCATTATGGAAAGAGATGAGAAAAATTATAAACTTTGCCATCTACAATATACCCAATTATTAATTTCCTTATATTCCCCAAGGTAGTACCTGTGATTCTTCTTCAAAACACATTGTGTTGATACAAGTGCCCTAGAATAAAGAAGTCACTAAATAAGTCAACATGACTTATGAGACACACACAACAAACCAAGCTTTCTTTTCTAACACAAATCTATGTCCACATTCAGGCAATTAAATAGTGAAGATTAATAGAACTTCAGAAGACAGGTGGCTGGCCATTTTTGCACTGAATTTCTACTATCAATTAAATGAAATGCCAATTCTGTTTGAAATCTTTCCTTCAAGAGCAGTACAAAACAAAATTTTACATATAACACATTTTAATACAATATTTTAATGGTATCCTTCCTAAGAACTAGGTAAATTCTCAGAATCCTTTCCAGTTCTTCAATTAAAAAGAAAATTAAGTTTGGATTTCTATGTGTGTATCTTGTATAATCTTTCAAATACAACTTCTGTAAATGATAGCTAAATTCCACAATACCTCATTTAATGAGTGCCATCAGGGAATGAAGAGTTCCACGTAAGTGAATGTCCCATTTAACTCAACTTTAATACTCCAACTGATGAAAAATTATTTTAACCTCTTTTGATGAAAATGCTTCAAAATGAAAAAACATACTTCTCAAAGTTTTTCAAAAAGAATGCACAGAAGAAAATCCAGCATTTTCTTGATGATTTAGGGCTACCTTGGGAACACAAAGGGAGGGTTGTGGCATGCATGTCTCCTGCATATGAGTTTGGTTTCCACAGCACATTACCCTGATCGCTGTGAGAAGCTCTTGGTTCTCCTCCATTGGCAGATAATCCTGTTTCTAAGAGGCTGCTTTATGCACAATTATCTAGCCTTAAGACTTGGAAAATGTTTAACCTTCTTACTGGAGAAAGGTACATGAGTTTTGTGATTGTTTTTTACTCCTCAGTTCCTTTTTGTTTACTTCCTGCTTCATTACAATGTTCCAGGTAGCTTAAAAAAAAAAAGTCTATCCTTCAGATAGGTAGAGTGTAAGCAGTACAGAAATGTGAATATTGAATAAATATCTACTTTTTATGAAAAATCATAAAGAATTTCCCTTTAGATTTATATACTCGAAGAAAATCCATCAAAATGGCAAGTCTAAAACTGGTAGCTTTATATCTATGATGTTTATATGCACATGGAGGGGTCCATGCACATAAGGAATTCTTATGAAAATCTAAATGAAGTTTGTATGATTTGTCTTATGAAAAGTTACATGGTTTACATTCTTACCTAACTATTCTTTGGACCAAGACTCATACTGTCTTTCATTTCTGGTTCTTTAGCACTTTTTACAATGTCAGGCATTAGGTAGATGCTCAATAAATGCTTGGAGAATGAATGAATAAAAAACTCAGTGTCATGGAAAAATTTAAAAATTCAGTATCTCAAACTTTAAATAATCAGTTTACCTTAAATCACATAAATTGCCACACTGACAAGTAAACAATATTTAATAACACGTATCTTTTTAAAAAATATTTTCAAACATTATTCATGAATGAACAACTTCCTAAAATTAAGGCTGGGTGTGATGGCTCACATCCGTAATTTCAGCACTTTGGGAGGCCAAGGTGGGAGGATTGCTTGAGTCAGGGAGTTTGAAACCAGCCTAGGCAATATAGCAAGACTCCCATCTCTACAAAATAAAAATAAGAAACCAATGTACAGGAATGAAAAAAGCAGTCGCCAAGGAGTTTTTCCTGACTACACTTCTGGAAACTACCAGGAAACAGTGACAACTTCCATATTAATGAGCAGTAATAATCTTAAACTTCTACATGTTTTGGTGAAGCATGCATCTGTAGTTAGCCTTTCCTCCACCAGATGGCACCCATGAATCAAGTGAAATGTTTAACATCTATGACACTCGAAAGGGAAAATGAATAAAGTAGTAAGCGTGGTTGTCCTCTTGTCTACTACATGAGCAACTGTCAAAATTCACAGCTATGAAAAGCAGAGGGCTGGCTGAACTGAGTTACAAAGTAAGCCTAATAATTCATTCAAGTATTCATTCTTTTAACATTTATCAAATGTTTATCGTACTCCAAGCATTTGCTAATAAACACATAGAGCTAAAAGAAACAGTACTTGACCTCAAAGAGCTTATCACTTAAGGAAGCAGATGACTTGTAAATAAATAACTACAAAATAATACAACAAATTCTCTAATTGAGAAGCCTCAGAAACACCATGTATTAGTTCATTTTCATGCTGCTGATAAAAACATACCCGAGACTGGGAAGAAAAAGAGTCTTAATTGGACTTAAGAGTTCCACATGGCTGAGGAGACCTCAGAATCATCGCGGGAGGGGAAAGGCACTTCTTACATGGCAGTGGCAAGAGAAAAAATGAGGAAGAAGCAAAAGCAGAAACCCCTGATAAACCCATCAGGTCTCGTGAGACTTATTCACTATCATGAGAATACCATGAGAAACACTGGCCCCCATGATTCAATTACCTCTGCGGGGTCCCTCTCACAACACATGGGAATTCTGGGAGATACAATTCAAGTTGAGATTTGGGTAGGGACACAGCCAAGCATGTCATTCTGCCCCTGTCCCCTCTAAATCTCATGTCCTCACATTTCAAAACCAAACATGCCTTCCCAACAGTCCTCCAAAGTCTTAACTCATTTCAGCATTAACCCAAAAGTCCACAGTCCAAAGTCTCACCTGAGACGAGGCAAGTCCCTTCTGCCTATGAGCCTGTAAAATCAAAAGCAAGCTATTTACTTCCTAGATACAATGTGGGTACAGGTATTGGGTAAATACAGTCATTCCAAATGGGAGAAATTGGCCAAAACAAAGGGGTTACAGAGTCCATGCAAGTCCCAAATTCAGCAGGGCAGTCAAATTTTAAAGCTCCAAAACGATCTTTGACTCCAGGTCTCACATCCAGGTCACGCTGATGCAAGAGGTGGGTTCCCATGGTCTTAGGCAGCTCCACCCCTGTGGTTTTAAAGGGTATAGCCTCCCTCCTGGCTGCTGTCATGAGCTGGTGTTGAGTGTCTGCAGCTTTTCCAGGCCCACAGTTCAAGCTGTGGGTGGATCTACCATTCTGGGATCTGGAGGATGGCAGCCCTCTTCTCACAGCTCCACTAGGCAGGGTCCCAGTAGGAACTCTGTGTGGGAGCTCTAATGCCACATTTCCCTTCCACACTGCCCTAGCAGAGGTTCTCCATGAGGGCCCCACGCCTGCAGCAAACTTTTGCCTGGGCATCCAGGCAGTTTCATACATCTTCTGAAATCTAGGCAGAGGTTCCCAAACCTCAATTCTTGGCTTCTGCGCACCCCTAGGCTCAATACAACATGAAAGCTGCCAAGGCTTGGGGCTTCCACCCTCCGAAGCCACAGCCCGAGCTGTACATTGGCCCCTTTCAGCCAAGGCTGGAGTGGCTGGGACACAAGGCACCAAGTCCCTAGGCTGCACACAGCACAGGGACCCTGCGCCCAGCCCACAAAACCACTTTTTCCTCCCGGGCCTCCAGGCCTGTGATGGGAGGGGCTGCCATGAGGTCTCTGACATGGTCTAGAGACATTTTCCCCATGGTCTTGGGGATGAACATTAGGCTCCTTGCTACTTATGCAAATTTCTGCAGCTGGCTTGAATTTCTCACCAGAAAATGGGTTTTTCTTTTCTATTGCATAGTCAGGCTCCAAATTTTCCAAATGCTTGTGCTCTGCTTCCCTTATAAAACTGAATGCCTTTAACAGTACCCAAGTCACCTCTTGAATGCTTTCCTGCTTAGAAATTTCTTCTGCCAGATACCCTAAATCATCTTTCTCCAGTTCAAAGTTCCACAAATCTCTAGGGCGGAGGCAAAATGCCACCAGTCTCTTTGCTAAAACATAATAAAAATCACCTTTGCTCCAGTTCCCAGCAAGTTCCTCGTCTCCATCTGAGACCACCTCATCTTGGACCTTATTGTTCATATCATTGTCAGCATTTTTGTCAAAGCCATTCAACAAGTCTCTAGGAGGTTCCAGGCTTTCCCACATTTTCCTGTCTTCTTCTGAGCCCTCCAAACTGTTCCAACCTGTGCCTGTTACTCGGTTCCAAAGTCACTTCCACATTTTCAGGTACCTTTTCAGCAACACCCCACTTTACTGATACCAATTTACTGTATTAGTCCATTTTCATGCTGCTGATAAAAACATACCTGAGACTGGGAAGAAAAAGAGGTTTAATTGGATTTCCAGTTCCACATGGCTGGGGAGGCCTCAGAATCATGGCAGGAGATGAAAGGCACTTCTTACATGCTGGTGGCAAGAGAAAAATGAGGAAAAAGTAAAAGCGGAAACCCTTAATAAACCCATCAGATCTCATGTGACTTATTCTCTATCATGAGAATAGCATGAGAAAGACAGGGCCCCATGATTCAATTACCTCTCCCTGGGACCCTTCCGCAACACGTGGGAATTCTGGGAGATACAACTCAAGTTGAGATTTGGGTGGGGACACAGCCAAACCATATCATACCATGTCCAAAGGGATATGTGAGCCAAATTTTGAGGGATGTAAGGAGTTGCGGAGCAGAATAATGGGCTGGGTAGCAATCCAGGTGGAGAGTACATTCTATATAAAGACATAAAGGCATGAAAAACATGGATATTTGGGGTTTAGAATTGGGCTACAGAGCTGCAGAGTTATAGAGCTGGAGGGAAGAGTATGTACGTGTGTTTGGAGGGGAAGGGAAAGGAAATGGCGGAAGATCAGAACTAACAGCAGGCTGGAACTCTATAAGGATACTTAAGAATTTTAATTCTATGATAAATAGCAATAGCTAATATTTATTGAAAACTCTCTATATGTTGAACACTACGCTAAGTGCATAAATGCATTATCTTATTTATTCCTCATTATGACTCTCAAACATATGTGCTATTTCTATACCTATTTTTCAGAGCCCTGTCATTGCTCTGTCCTTGGGTTCTTGCCTTGGAGCTGCTCTAATAACAGTTGCGCCCCACAACTCACCTGTTTCAAAAGTCTTTAGAAGTGGGTAAGGCATGCTGTTTTTGCACAGTTCATTCTGTTCCATAGTAAAATGCAGGGCAATAAAGTTCTGTTATTCCAACTTCTGGAAGGAGTCCTGAACAAGACTAGGAAATCTGGGTTCCCAGTCACACAGCAATCAGCCAGTTCTGTGACTGTGTGCTCTTGTACACATTACTTAACCTCACTGGCTGTCAGTCCCCTTACCTGTAAAACAGGGGAGTGGGCTAAAGGGATTGGATTAGAAGATCTTCAAAATCACTTTATGTCTTAAATTTTATTCCATAAATTTTAGTTATTTATTTCCCTCTACCAAACTACCCTACTTCGGAGGTGTTAATGAGTAATTTAAGGCAGGCTACAAAGAATCTGCAAAGCCTATATAATCTGGAAATCCTGAGAATTAACCATAATATTGATAGACTAATAGCAGAGTAAAGATAATAGTTCACAGGCTCCTAATATGACAATCTATTTTGCAGCTATCATATTAAGTGGTAATCTCGCAAGGTTAAACTCCATAAACCTAAAGGATAGAAGCATATTGATTATCCAGAAGGTTACAAATATGCTCATATTTTCATGTATCATTGAAACGGAAGTTTCTCCAACACCTCTACCTTAGCTTTGGTGACTTAGCAGCCATCAGTTGGTAGTAGGACGCCATTATTGAATTAACAGAACCAGCTAAGAAATCAGATGGCTTCAAATTCCTGCTGTCACATTAGGGACAATGAACAAATCTATTTATTAAATAATAGCAATTCTCTTGCTGAGCCTTAACTAAGGCAGCAAAAATGAGACCAAATGTGACTGATTTTCAACATTATAAGAGTGTGGTGATAATAAGAAGTAATGATATAAGGATGAAGCAGGAAAAATACTTGTATGGACTTCCTATCAAGAATTTAAAATCACTTAACATTTCAGGACAAGCACTCTTGAGGTCAGTCTTTTAAAATAAATTTAAGTATCAACAAACTTAAACCACACTCTCTTAATTTTATGTAGATCATACCTGCAAAAAGTAATGTTGAACAATAATAAAAATATTAAAACACATACACTTAGAAAGTATCCTGAACTTGAGACACAACAGTTCCTACCATTTAGTGACTCTTCATGTAAATTCATTGTGCTTTGAGGGCATAAAACATTTGGGACCTTGACTATATGGACTTCAAAAAATAGTACAAAGCATTGAAATGCTTTAAGCAGACAATAGCCATTTTATTCCAATTGGGTCAAAGATTTCTCTTACATGTTTTGTTTGTTTGTTTTTTGTTTTTTGTTTTTTTTTGAGACGGAGACTTGCTCTGTCACCCAGGCTGGAGTGCAGTGGCGCGATCTCGGCTCACTGCAAGCTCAGCCTCCTGGGTTCATGCCATTCTCCTGCCTTAGCCTCCCAAGTAGCTGGGACTACAGGCGCCCACCACCACGTCTGGCTAATTTTTTGTATTTTTAGTAGAGACGGGGTTTCACCCTGTTAGCCAGGATGGTCTTGATCTCCTGACCTTGTGATCCACCCACCTCAGCCTCCCAAAGTGCTGGGATTACAGGCGTGAGCCACCACGCCTGGCCTCTTACATGGTTTTGTATTCTTTCATCATTAAATAAAATGGATGATAAATGAGAAAAGTTATAATTCTGAGATGACTATTAAATGAATTTAAATTATTTAACCAGCTCCTGGGAAACGTATTTTATTAGAATATATTCATAGAGTTTACTTTTCTTTTAATTGTGTAAGACTATGTAAATATAAATACTGAGAGATTTCATTATTTCAAACAAAAGCATACCAGCTTCTACTAGAGGTAAAAAACAAATGAACTGAAATATTTTAGTGAATATAATAAAAATGTTCACAAGTGCTGACGGTTATTGAGCATTTACTATAGGCCAGGCACTAAGCTAAGAACCACAGATGTATTCTCTCAATTAAACTAAAATTAAGAGGGGAAAGAAACCCGCTCAGCCTGAACAAAATTCACACTAGATTGGTTTTTTCAAGTGAAATTCATTCTACTTTTAGAATTATTATATCAAACACTGTATAACTATCAATACATATGAGGCTCCACCTGTGTGACATGATAAACCATAAGAAAGTAATTTAAAAGGTCAGGATCAATAAGATAATTATAATGACGACAAATGGATTAAACTCTCCTAAAAAGGAAATATAATATCAGGTAGGATTTATTAAGTCCATTTGGGAAACAAAATCTCACAACTGTTTTAAATACTTCATATTTAAGGTTGTTTTCCATTATAATGTTTCTGCCATTAACTAACTGGCATAATTACACAAGCAAAACAGTACATTAAGAAACAATTTTGTTGATTCTGAAACCATATTTCAAAATACACCCTTGGGAATACTAAACATCCGAGAAACTTTATGCACTTACAGCTGTTTTAGAGAAGCTGTTGCATACATTCTTCACAACATTAGATTGCTACCTAGGGTTGAATGAATCTCAGACCATTAAAATAATGTCAAGAAATTTGATTAAAAAGTCTCCTGGCCAGGCACAGTGGCTCATGCCTGTAATCCCAGCACTTTGGGAGGCCGAGGTGGGTGGATCACGAGGTTAGGAGTTTGAGACCAGCCTGGCTAACATAGTGAAACCCCATCTCCACTAAAAATACAAAAAATATTAGCCGGGCGTGGTGGTGGGCACCTGTAATCCCAGCTACTCAGGAGGCTGAGGCAGGAGAATCGCTTGAACCTGGAAGGCGGAGGTTGCAGTGAGTCGAGATTGTGCCACTGCACTCCAGCCTGGGGAAAAAAAAAATTCTCTCCAAGTTCCCCCACATAACCCTTATAATTGTTAACAGAAGAGGTGGGAGAGACCCAAACAGATAAAACATCTAGAACAACGACCCACTTCAAAGCTCTTCCACACCCTTGACCCAGGTAAGTCTTAGTTTATTGCCGAATCTCCAGATGTGTTTCTTCTGCAGGGCCTGCCCACAATCAGATGCAGGCCTGAGAGACCAATGGTGGCTGAGGACACAGCAGCTGGGATTGCCAGCTTTACTGGATTGTTCAGATGTTTTTCTGATTTTTCTACAAGACTACAAAACATGAACCATTCAAAAAGGAAAATGCATTCTTTAAAGCAGATTTAGTACAACGGCTTAATGACATTTTCCAGCAGTGAAGCAGCTAGTAATTAAATATCAACGAGTTAATGACCTAGCTGACTCAATGAACTTTGATTTGGTACAATTAGGACTCCATCACTGAAGCTTCTCCTTTCAGGTAGCACAGCTTCGCCTCAGGACAAGTCTGCTGGGAAAAACAAACAGGGGAGCCGCAGCCTCCACCATTTATGCAACACTAGTGCAGTATTGCTTAAGCATATGCTATCTCACTTTTTCCAAGGTCTCTGCTGCACTGCAGTATTTCTGGCCCAGCAAACTCTATCTGATGGATCACTACTTTTTTAACTATGCTAAACCAAACAAGAAGGGGGCATTTATATACACATACAGATGTACGCACCCAGTCACTCTCCTAGCCTCCTTACCTCCAGAAAGGTTACCCTGACTGTTGTAAATTATACCATTCTTTAAAGAAGATTAAGTTAGGGTGGAGATAAGAGCAACAGATCAGAATCGAAACTACATCTTCAGGGTGACAGAATTAAACAATTGCCAATATAAAGTTAACAGGAGTTATTATTTATAATCAAAAGAAGTTGAGCAGTCCCTGACGACTACATATTTGGTTCTACAAGCTCTCTGGATGGTCCCAAGCAGCTCAGCCACTGCTGAGTAACACACAGGTCTTCACTCATGCCAGGGTTATATGATTTGTGACTTACCTTCAGGGTTTGGGGCTTAAAGGCTTTTGTTTTCATGTAACTATGTTTTGTCCATATCTAGATACATTTATATTGTAGAGAAAACATCATACAGCCATTAAAACATGATTTAATGATGTGATCTTTTTTTTTTGAGACAGAGTGTCACTCTGTTGTTGCCCAGGCTGGAGTGTGATGGCACAATCTCAGCTCACTGCAACCCCCCTGGACTCAAGTGGTCCTCCTGCCTCAGCCTCCCAAGCAGCTGGGACTACAGGCATGCACCACCATATCCAGCAAATTTTTGTACTTTTTGTGGAGACAGGGTTTCACCACATTGCCCAGGCGTGTCTCAAACTCCTAGGCTCAAGTGATCCACCCACTTCGGCCTCCCAAAGTGCTGGGATTACAGGTGTGAGCCACTGCACCCGGCCAATGATGTAAAATATTTATAGTATATTGGTAACTGGAAAAAAAAAGTTCACCAAGCTGTCCTACAGCCTGAATCCATATATGCATAAAATAATGATGTATATCATTACAGAACCTCTAGCAATAGTTGTTCTTTTGGAGTGAAGGAATTACATGAGACATTTTTTTCCTTCTCTAAGTTTTCTGTATTTTTAAGGATTTCTACAATGAACATATATTACTTTCATTATAACATAATGTTGGATGGGAATAATGGAAAGAAGGGAAGAGAAAAAAACAACAGATCACACCACCTCTTTCTCTCAGAAGACTGAGCAAGCAAACACTGAATGTGTAATCTTCTCTTAAATTTATCACTTAAATGTTAACCTTCCCTCATTTCCACTTATTTGACTTTGGTCACAGCAGGAGGCCTACCAAAAAAGTATTTGGGGTGGGGAGCACAGAAAATCAAAAGCTAAAAATAAGTGTTTTACACTAATATCAGCACAGGAGGGGGATGCCATGAGGCATTCTTTTTGAACACAGCTTAATGGTTGCCACTTTTTAAAAAATTGATCATCCAGATTTCTTATTTTCATATCTTCAACTTGTCAACTTACATCTAAAATGAATAATGTGCTAAAGTTAAAAACATTTGCTCTTGTTACCCTCTAGCTTTAAAAGAAACAAGGGGACAAATTCCCTGTAGAAATAGGATTAATGACATATGGTAATTACACTATTAGGTTGAAATATCCATAACAGCATAAACCTCCATTAAACACATTTCTCAGGAGGCACTTTTATTAAAGATAAATTCAGTCATTTTAAATTCACAAATACAAAGCTATGTATCAAAATCTTTTTTTATGTAATCAGATTGAGTCATTCATTCCATCATTCCTGGCTCAGAAACATTTCAAATAAAGACAGGAAGAAAGGTTATACCCCAGGCAAGAGACAATATATTTGCAGATGCAATATTTGAAGCTGTGAATTAAAAAAAAAAAAGTCAAGGCAACAAAAAGAATGTATGCTTTCTATTTGCATGCTGCAAATTCTTGGTCAGCTGTGGCTTATTACCCACCAACTTCCCTAGCTCCCATGTCTCCCATTCCTCCAAATAATGAGGAGGCAAGGAAGAGAGGGAGGTGGGGGATGCTCAAACAGGGATAATGAAAAATGATAATGAACAACAAGAAATGCAACAAACAAGAAGAGCTCTTGTCCTTCCATTTTATACCACTTATCATCAGGTGTCTGAAGATACCTTTATGCTTACCCTATTTTTGTTTCAATTTCATTTTTAATTGCCTTGTTTTCTATTGGGCTTAATTTTGTGAACAGTTCAAAAACTTTTCTAGAAATAGGTAGATATAAGTCCTACGTAAATAACAAAAAAAAAATTCACTCAAAATATAGCATTTCAAATTATAATAAAATAAAAACAACAAATTGCTTTCTGTGCCATTTCTATCAACAAACAGCTAATACTCAGTTCTCTAAAAAAAATGGCATATAATACAAGGCAATTTTATCTAAGAAATTATGATTTTATCAGAAAACAAGTACAGATGTGCCTCACTTTCTCAACTACAGCAAAATGTAAATAGAAACTGAATTTGTGTTAATCATACTCCCTTCATGGATCTCTTATAAAGAAAATAACCTGTGTTGCAAATACTGGATTCCATTCTGCTTGTTTTAAAGGGAAAGAGAACTAGCACATATTAAAAGCCTACCATAACACCTGGCAGTGTGTTAAGCATTTTCACAGTGTTTATCATTTAATTATCACAGCCATTTCCCAATGAGAAAACTGAAGCACAAAAAGATTAAATTCCCCAGGTCGTTTAGCAGTGAATGATGAGGCTGAAATTCAAATTCAGTTCTATTTCAAAAGACACGTTTTTCTAATATACATGACCTCCTGGAATATCTGTATTAGTGGCAGCCATGTCATAAAACATTTACCCAGCTAGACACACAGGTAAGATGCCATGAATCTTGGTCTAAGGATAAATGAACTTGGGGAAAATGATTTGATAGACTAAGATCAGCCATGAATATCATACCCAAAAACAGACAAATGGCAATAATAATCATTTATCAAATGTGAAGATTTTGATCATTTAAAGGAGTCTTCATCCTATAAGATTACTTCATGTATTTCCCCAACAATTCTGAGAAGCAGTGAGGCAGGTATTATCACCACCCTCAGCTTGTAGCTAAGGCAACTGAGGCATACAGCAACTAAACAACTTACCCAAATAAGACTATAGGTGACAAAATAGAAGTCAGAAACAAAGTTTCTTAATGCACTGTCCAGCACTATGTCTCCTATGTCATGCAGCATTTGGGAAATAATTTGTATCAAAATAAAACTTCTGATAGCTTGAAGAGGTGCCAAGCATTCCCTGTAGCCCATACTTTAAGCAGATATTATATCACAGTGGAAATACAGGCTTTTCTCAATCCATCCTATTTCAGTCAAGTCAAATTGCTCTGTGTTCATAACATGCTCAAAACCATATTCACTTTATTGCTTTCTTGAAGAAAACCTTAGGTAAATTTTTTTTTGAGAAAACATACATAGCTAAAAAGGTTTTCCTCACTCCTCCTTCCCTTGGATCCCTGCTTTGAAATAAAATAAATTAGTGGAAGAACTGACCATAAAGAATGAGAAAGAGCAAAAAAACAAAAGAATGACTCCTCTGCAAGAGCTCTTCAAGTTTGGCATTAAAAAAGTCTCTGAGAAGGCAGAATTGACTACTTAGAGAAAGTATTATACACAAATTTATATTCCAATAAACAGTGATGTTTCTCAAAGTAGCCTTTTTAAAACAAATTCTTAGCTCTACTTAAGAAAAGTATAAAGCACCATCTGAAGAAGAAAACATTTTGGAAGAATAGGTTTGCATCAAAACCCTGGAAAATACTACATCCTAACCTAAGGATATTTAGATACTGACTAATGGTATTTAATTTTAATTAGGAACATATGTGAACTGAAAACAAGGACAAATAGTGAGACCCACCCTTTATGTATCCTCTGCCAAGAATGCCTTCCCCACACATACCAAACTAAGTTAGGAGATCCCTGCTCTTCTCCCATCTTTTTCTTTTTCTTCTTGCCACTTAGCACAATTTATAATTGGGCATGACAATGTGTGATGTCTTGTTTCCCCCATTAGATAGCAAACTCTATTTCACCACTATAGCCCTACTGGCTAGCATAGTGCCTTGGAAAAATAGTAGGTGTTCAGTAAATAATTGCTGAATGAACTAAATGGATAAATGAGGACGTGTGGATTCCAGGTGATGGGTGCAGCTTCCCATTTGATCTCTCCTGTTCTCTAGCAATTTCTCCAACCTTTGAGTGGAGAAAGTACTTTTCTGGTGTGGTACAGGATGGTCAATCAGCTTGTGCACACAGGCAAAATACCATAACCACAAAAACCTACACTGAGTATGTGGACATGGTATGTGTCTGTACAAACTTCAGGCTGCCTAAACCAAAAAGCAGAGAAATACTGGCTGCCTGAGCAACTCATATTTTTTATTTCAAATGTTTGTCCCCTACTGTCTTAATTAGTGTCATTTATACATTTAGTTAGAAGAGCATGTAACTGAACCTCTCAGCTTAGAAATGCATTTTAAAACTTTTTTTGTCCCCTGTCTTAAACTACAGCCTTAAAATGTACCTTAAAATTCACTGTTTCCCTCTCTTTCCCACTCCCTGGCACTCTGCACTTATCTAACCATATGCTTGCTTAGAAATTCAAGGGGTAATCTTGAAATGAACCAGGCATGAAGACTTAGGTATGGAATTCTCCCCCAGTTAGAGGTACCTCAAGGCAGTGAATCTACAACCCAGCCGCAACCAAAATGGCACCAGCTCTCACTCCAGGCGTGTAAGAACTGAAGACGGCCATCAGAAAGTGACATGCAGACCCACAGCATGCACCACTCCTGCGTGTTTCCCATACGAAGCTTCCCTCTTAAACTCCTTCACTCCGCCTAAAATTTTGAGATGGTTCCTTTGAGGCTTCAGCCTGGTCATGTCTTCTGTTGGCATTTGAATAAAACTGCCTTCCTTGCACCATATCTCACCTCTCATGTATTTGGTTTTTCAGGTGGGGAGCAGCTAAACCGGAATTCGGTTACAAGCAGTACAAATTGGAAGCTGTGTATTATGAACAATACTACCTCAACTAAGTAATAAAGTATGAACTAACGAGATACAGAAACAAGTCACTCAGGCTAGCCCCCATAAATCTCTTGCAAGTGTTTTCTTCTTCAAGAAGTACAACCACATTTTATTCTCTCTTTTGTTTCATTCAGTCCTTGTATGTCTTCAGGGCAAAGGGAGTTAATTCCCCACATTTGTGTAGCACTTCACAGTTTACAAAACACTTTTTTTTTTTTAAGGGACTGCTAAATTAGAAATTTCAACACAGATACCAAGACATGTTCATGAAATTCCACTCTGAAGTTCCAGGCCCACGTGTACATTTGTAAAAGAAACACTTTGCGACCTGTTTTGTGGTTCTAAAAAGCCCTAACCCACATTCAAAATGAAAGAGTCAAAAGTATGGAAATCAAGGGAGAGTTTCTGAGGAAGGTTTCTTGGGAGCACAGTGTCCCCCTTCTCACATGTAACACAGAGGGATGAGTGATGGTGACGTGGGCAAGTCAGGAGAGAGGGGCCTCAAAAGGGCTGTTCAGGAAGCCTGGCATGTGCCCCTACAGTTTGGAGGGGATATGTGTGTGACTCCTGCCTGGAAAAGCTGGAAGAGCAGAAGCTGAAGGAGAGGTGGGAAGGTGGTGGGGACTGTGCTAGACTGGCCTGCACTCCCAGTGCTTGTCTGTCCAGGATCATGAGTGCTCCCTGTGGACAGATGCGAGCCACAAGGGGGAGAGAGCTGGCCTGAAGCCACTTCGATCCTGCCAGAGGACTGCCTGGAGCAGTGAAAGGACCTCACAATGGAGCATTTATGGAACAGATTGCTGAAAACCAGGATATGGGGAAAATGCACTGACTACACTACAAGTAAATAAAATGAAGAGGGTAGGCATGGCAGAAACTCACAGTGACCAGCAGGAAGAGTCAGCTTTAAACACTTAACTAGACACTGAAGCATGAAGCCATGTGTCACTATCAGCCAAGTAAGCACTTTCCTGCCCCCTCTCTTTTCCTCTCCCTCTTTTCCTTCCTTTTCCAGCTTAGACCCTGCAGGATCAGCAACTAGCAAGTGGAAACTTAAGGAAGACAGAGTTTCTAACTGTCAAAGGTCTTAACTGGGGAAGGGAAACTGGGAGAAGATTTAACTCATATCAACTTTGAAGTTTTGAGTACCTCATGGAATTGGCCATTCTACTCTGATAATTTCCAACTAAAAGTCATTGTAATAAAGTATATTACTTAAAATTAAGAGAAAAATCATAGGACCACCCAAGTTTTCATTTTGGGGTAGGGAGGAGCTTCCTCTACTGAATACACTCTAATTGGAAAATAGGAAAATAAAAATGCTTTCTGGTTAGACCCCTTGAATCTTGTTTTTTTCAATTCACTGGTTACTAGATGAGTTGAAACTCTTTCAGTCAGCAAATCATAGAAACCTGACAAGCTACCTTAAGCAAAGCAAAACAAAACAAAAAACTGCTGTAAACATAGGAGTTAGGTTTGCCTCAAAGAAAACTAAATCAGAAACTTAGACCCCATCTGCCTTGCATCTCTGCCTTAGATCTGCTTGTCTTCATCGATTTGTGCTGCTATAACAATATACGACAGAGTGAGCATTTTATAAATCAAATTTATTATCTCATAGTTCTGGAAACTGGGAGGCCCAACATCGAGGTATTCGCAGGTTCAGTCTCCGGCGAAGGCCTGTTCTCATAGATGGCACCATCTAGGTGTCCTCGCATGGTAGGAGAGAAAGAGGGACAAAAGGACCTAGCTAGTTCCCTCCAGCCCTCTTATAAGGTCACTAGTCCCATTCTTGAGGGCTCTGCCCTGGTGACTTAATCATCTCCTAAAGGCCCTACCTCATAATACTGTTCACTGGGGATTAAGTTTCAACACAAACTGTGGTGAGTACATAAATATTCAAACATAGCACTGATACTCTTTGTATGCTATCATATTCTCTCCAATAGAGGGAGTCGGAAGGTAGCAATTGGCTACCAGTAGCTCCAAACGCTGATCCTTACAGCAATACCATACTAGAGAAAAACGCCTGTCAGGATGGCATTGAAAAATCCCACAGGAAGACTCTAGTTGGCCCTGTTTCAATCATGTGACCACCTCCTGAGCCAATCACTGTGTTCAGATGAGGTGAGGTACCAGGCCATATGCCCTGTGGTCAGGATGGGTGTGCAGTCTGTTGCTAGAAGTGAAGAAGGGTGCTAGGCAGATTAAATACTTGAACCCCACCCCACAATTTTACATCCATTATCTCATTTTATCCATACTTTAGAAGCGAAAAACTAAGGAACGTATCCAAGGTCATACAAAAAAGCAAGAGTTTAGCTGTCTATGGAAGCCAGATCATCGAACTATAAATCTGGTATCCTTTCCAATACTCTAAATCTCTCCTTTAAAATATTTTCTAGAGCAAATAGATCTAATTCATTTGATATCTCCCAACAGGAAAGTAGATTAAGTGACTTCTAATGTCACTTACCTCTAACATTCTAAAATTGTTCACTAACTGGTTTAGTCCAGGCTTTGTGGTATGATCTGGAGTCATTCATTCTCTATTTAATTAATTCATTCAATACACATTTACTGGGTACCTACTACACACTATGTGCCAGACACTCTTCTCTTGCTGTATTGCTCATCTAGGAGCCCTAATACTAAACAAAGCCACTAAACCACATAGCAACTGCCTGACCAAAAATAGAACAATAAATTCATATAGTCACTGCTTAAAAGTAGCCATTAGTGACAAGTTTCGTTCGACCAGCTACCAGAGGGAGAGAGGCAAATAGCTTTTCTTATAGACATGTTAACCACTAACACGCATTTACGTGCATGCGCGCGCACGCACACGCACGCACACACACACACACACACACATAGGGAAATGAAAGATCTCATGAAATCGAGAAATTTTTCATGGTATAAAAATCACATAATATGTAACAGTTTCACTACCAATGAGTCTAAATCTCTAGTTTAAAAAGAAAATTCATCAGCATCAGACTACAGACACAGCTATAAAGTAAAGGAAGAAAAAAAATGCTATGTAGGGTTTTTTTTTAGACCTTAAATGTTGTTGTTCAAAAGTTGCTCTATGTTATGATTTTATGATTGCTCCCTATTTTAAAAATATCCACAGCATGTATTAAACATCCATCATATCACACCAGACAACTTCAAAGACACAACTGGAAATTACTTTGCTTTTCCAGCTGTACTTTCTTGAGAGAGCTTCTGGTTAGAAAAGATAACACAGCCCAGCTTTGATTCTGGGCCTTTGTTGACGTTGGTGTATTAAAGTAATACAGGTTAGGGTTTTCTATCTTTAAGTCATGGGATGTTCCTTGTACATATGTCTGGCAAAGGTAAAGGTGCAGAAAAAGGCCTCCTATCCCATTGTCTTTCAGAGCTTCTATTTACACAATATTAACACATTTGCCTTAGGTGGAAAACCTAACAAGTCTGACTTTCTTGATTCATCTGCAAAATGGAAATAATACATGCTGTGAGGCACTGAGGATCAATGATTATTTATAGGACTAAACAAGCTCCTTGGAATATACTTGAAATAAAACACGCACAAGTGCCTTGCCTCTTAAAGAGGTTCCTTTATCAATGTATGTTTTACATATCCAATAACCCAAGCAAGTCAGGAGAGCTCAGGTGAATGCTATCATAATGACCAACTAACTATTCTGGGTCAGAATGCAGTCCTGTGGCTTAGTATCTTGACTTTGTACCCACCACCCACAGCCACCACTGGCATAGCATATTCATAGCAGAGCCCAGAAAAGGAATTTCTCACATTGAAACAAACATCCCCCTACTTAATCAGAGGGAGCCATAGTCAGCACAGCTAACAGATTCTTTTGCTCCAAAGTCAATTCAATGTACACTTTTGTTACCCTGGAACATATTCAGCATGGGGTAGGCATTAAGGGGGGGAGGTTCTAAGAAGTCCTTGGCTTTAAAAAGCTTAAACTCTTGGTGTGCTGACTGCCTTATCGAAATGAAACAAAAGAGCAATCATGCAGTGGAAAGAGATCTGAATTAGGGGTTCTGGTTCCAGGTTTACTATTTATCAGCTTTCATATCAACACAGCAGTCTTCTCACTGCATTCATTTTCAAACAAGGACCTAGCTAGATTGTCTGTAAACTGCAGTTCCCACATTCTAAGATTCTAATCAAGCATCAAAATGCATGGAACAACCTATTATGGCTCAGAAATCTTTAAGAGAGGCTGCTGCTGCAGCCCTCCAGAAAGAAAGGTTTCAATTGAATTACATTATGAATCCACAGAGAAAAAGACGCTAGAGGAAAGGGGCAAAGGGGCAGGTAGGTATACAACCAGACTTTCTGGCTGTATTTACATAGGTTCCTGAAGGAGACCCTCTGCCAGGACCCTAGTCTCAAAGTTCCTAGATACAAGACCCGTCTCTCTCATTCAGCTACCCTCAACGCTGCCTCTTCTCCTTCTCTCAGTAATATTCCTTGGTGCTAGAATTCTGAATCCAGAGGTTTGTGGCTGTGAGATTAGCTTATACTACAGCTAGAATATCCACCACCATCACCTCTCTCAAGAAGATCCTTTAAAGAATGTCAGCACCCTATAAGAGTGCAATGAGTAGAACTAGAAAGATGGGGTTTCTGTCCTTTCTCTGGCCCTACCCCTAATTAGTTCTTCAGCTCTGGACTAGCCACTTACTCTTTAGACTTCATTTTCCTCCTCCAAAATATCTGTCTTACTTATATCACTGATTTCATCTAAGGATCTCATGTATCTCTTATACATGAAATAATAGGTATAATTAAACCATAAGGTATTCTCAAAACATATGGTAGAGTTATTTTCATCCTTGTTATGATTTGTTGAGATAATGAATTAAGAGTTGGTCTTCTACTTCCAGTAATGGCGGGTTAGTTTCCAGTAAAACAGCCTCCTGAGAACACGAGGACTCACTAAACACTTTACAACTAGTGTAAAAATCCAAGACTCTAAATTTTGTTAATAATAATCACATTAGAACAATATGCCAAACTCAATTGAATTGATGTTTTGATCACCTAAATGGCTAACTTAAAGTAAAACTACATTTTATTTCCATCTATTTACCATTTACTCTGTAACATACCATGCTAAATAAATAAAAAACCTCTCAAAAAATTCATGATTCCCATTTCCAAAACTCACTGGCAGTATAAACTGGAATGAGAAGTTCAATTCTGCGCATATAAATGTGACACTTATAAACAGGGGTTTTAGTGACTGGTAAATCAGAGTTGTAGAGCAGCGGCTGTTGTAAATGGTCATGACCATTTCTTGTTTGATAACAACAAGCAGTTTCCATATTTATAATTCTAGAAGCTGATTTCAATGATTAGGTATAGCTTCTTGATTTTCTGCTTTTTACAACTTGAATTTGTTTGGGCAGATGCAGTTTATTCTGAAAGGAAATATAAAACAAATAGGAGAGAATAGTCTTTTTACATATTTTTGCTAAGCTAGGCAAAAAATGAACCTCTAGCATGTCTGCAATGAGGTTTTATGTCAGTAAAGAGCTGACAAAAGGACAACATACCAGAAAGGAAATCTAAATGCGAATTGTTTCCTATCATTAGATATAAGTCAGAATTTAGCTTGTAATTTCAGGTTCACTTTGCAAAAGTACCATAACTGACCTATCTCTGTCCTATATGGAGAAGAATACCCTATTACACAAGTGCTCCCTTTACTCTGGAGATTTTTCTCTTTGATAGGCCATGAGGTACTATATATTACATTGAGATTGAGGAAGGCATATGCCAGTATCTCTATCAAGCCTTGAAATAGCAAATGTTTTTCAGGTACCAACTATACTAAGGATGCTGCGTTTTTCTAACACCTAAGCTAAATGGCTTATTGAACTATTTTATATTGTCCTGGAGAACAATGGTAGGTAGGCACTGACTTCCACATTTGGAAGTTGTCCCATTGGTTATTAGGCTAGATTTGGCTAGCTAGACTTGATTCTTTCTTCCTATTACAGAACCTGCCAAAATTAGGAATGATTTCCTTTCTTGGCTAGACCTTTTGATTCTGGAAGTTTCAGATAAAAAGAGAGAGAACAGCCAAACGTTTTAATGTCCCTATCCAATACAATATTTAACTATTACCCACACTGCTTCCGACCCTTTGCAGAAGATTGGATTCTTCAATGTATCCAAAATTTCTAGGCTTCAAGCTGGTATAGCTGGGTTTTGCTCACAGCCCATAGCCAAGCTCTGTGGGAGCAACTGACTGACAATTCCAAAGAGGATAATTATTTCCCTGGGACAGAAATTGTGGCTCAATGGCAACACCAAATCGCACCCTCTTTCAGCATTTACCTCTTTTCTAAAACAAACAGAAACAAGTGAATATAATTTCTAATGAAAACAGACTTTTAACAGGACATTTGTTGTACTGTTTTTGTTTGTTGTTTGTTTTTGCTAAATTAGCTCAACTTCTCTAAAGGGGGCACACAGATGATGGTTTACCTTGCCTAAAAATAGCAGATAATAGACAGAAGTTGTTCATTCCATCTGCTTCCCCTGAGAAGAAAAATAAAAAACATTTTGTGAAGGTATCAGGAGTCCCAGAGCCCAAGGAGAGGACTGTCCTGAGACTTTATTACTCTTAAGGCTTCAAATGCACCGCCACATGCTCTACTGAAAACACTATTTTGCCAGTCAGAGAATCATTCTTGGGGCATATCAAATGCAGTAGCATCCTACACTGTCTGAATTTCCAACCCAGCCTTACTACTCATTTAAAAGCAAGGGATGACTGAAGAGGAAACTGATATTTTCTTACGGTTAACTACTTTTCTATTTAATATTCTGGACACCATTTCAATATTCTTTGATGTGACGTGATTTGAGAGCAATAGTGAGAGAAGAATAAAGCTATTTCCCAAGTGTTGCCATGGGTTGAGCCCATTTCAGAAACCAGTTGCATATGCCACTCAATGGCCTAAAACTTGCTAAAATAAGGCCATATTTTCTAAGTTATCTTGAGGGACTAGAACAACTTCTAAAGCCCTTTCTTAAGAATCAGGAAATAACACATATGGTTTTTATGAAGCTCTTCAGAACAATAAAATATTAATTCAGAAAGTACCGTCAAATGGAAATAAGGCAAAAATCAGATGAACTGGTTTCTATAACACGTGACTCATTCCAATTTCCTTACTGGCTTCAACAGGAGCTGCCCAAAGTCTCATGATCAAGCTTTACTATGATATCTATAGTGAGATCCTAAAAGGTAGAGTAGTTTCATTTAAAAATAAACCTCATCAGTGAATAGGGAATAAATAAATTACTCTTAAAACTGAACTTTTTTCTTTGTTCCATGAGGTCATTCTTAATGTAAATTGCCACAAGTTCTAGCTACATTGCTAGTAATAATCTCCATGTTAATTCTACAGCAACTCCAGCTGAATAGGCATTAGTTTCACTCCAGAAAAGAGGAAATTAAGTACATTAGTAGTTTATTCGTTGGCAGAAATCAGGTCCAATATTTAGGTACCTGCCCTTTTATTATCCAAATTTCAATATTAGGATATGGTCAACCTCACTTTATCATACCCTTTATGAGAAGAGAACCCATGTCTGTGTTAACTATGATTATATTCTTTTGCCTAGCACAGTACCTGACATATAGATGGTTCCTTAAAAAGACAAAAGTTTTATTACATAATTTTGCTTATCTGCAAGTACCAAAAGTGTATAAATCCTTTTACTTTTCACTGCTGTGGGAACCATTACTTCATGACAGGTGACTTCAAAGTAGATACTGAGATATCCAAATTCAATCTATCTCATTGTAAGTATCTGTTAGAGTTGTATGGTCCTGAGAATATGAAAGAATATAAGATGCCATCTAGTTCAAAAGACCTTAGACTTAGATGAATCATTTGTATAACTTGGGAACCAAAAAGATATAAGTGATGAACCTGGTGGGTGATGGAGAATTATATGAGTAATCGGGAGGACTTAGTAATGTGTAAATAATCTAGACCCAGGGACAGAGGAACATATAAGACTCAATGCCTGTTTTGAAATCCCTGAGAAAGTAACTATAAAATGGGTTCTACTATCATCATCCAGATCTCCTGGAATCTAGTCAGCAGGAATATATGTAATATATTTTTTTTAGACGGAGTCTCGCTTTGTCACCCAGGCTGGAGTGCAGTGGTGTGATCTCGGCTCACTGCAAGCTCCACCTCCCAGGTTCACGCCATTCTCCTGCCTCAGCCTCCCAAGTAGCTGGGACTACAGGTGCCTGCCACCACGCCCGGCTAATTTTTTGTATTTTTAGCAGAGATGGGGTTTCACCGTGTTAGCCAGGATGGTCTTGATCTCCTGACCTCGTGATCTGCCCGCCTTGGCCTCCCAAAGTGCTGGGATTACAGGTGTGAGCCACCGTGCCCAGCCGTCAGCAGGAATCTAATCAGCATCCAGATGGGAATTTCTGGTCATTAGTAACCTTTGTATACTGAGAAATGCCCTGAATTACTTGATATTTGGTAGTTTCCTTAGTTGGTGATGAGACAAAGTGCTCTGGGTCTCTGCAACTCTAGGTCTTAATACTGAAATCCCTGGTCATAAGTAACCTTAGTTAACTGAATTTTTAACTGCCTTCCTCAAATGGGGTTGTATCTTTTATACCTCAGAAGTTTAGAAAGTTAAGTGTAAGTATGTAAAGATTTTTAAGAATAAAATAATTATTTTTCAAGAATCTATTAATTTTTGACATTTTATATATTTGGAACATTTGAGAAAATTTGAGGATCACTGTATTTATAGATTTGATTTATTAAATGTGAAGTTATTATTTACTATCCAGTGACATTTTAAATAAGATAATTTAAGTTTTTAAAAAGAAATACATATATTAAATGTATAAGGACAGTTTAAATGTTTAATTAATTTTGTAAATGGGACTAAACGTTATTCAAAGGCCCTTTGAAATTATTACTAACTTCTGTCTGACTTATACATAAAAAAGAAGAAACTAGAGTTGGAAGCTGAACTGAAAAGCCTAAAGTAGTTTTTAAAAAGTAAATGTCAGTTTTTAAAATCAAAATTAAACCTTATTAATAGTCTTTTTGTCACATATAAAAATCACCCTGGATAACATAAAAAAATCTCATATCACTCACTGCCTGTGTCTTTACCATCCTAATATTCAGCCTGCTGACTGGCCAGTCCCCACAGCTGGCCTTAATGCCGAAGCGTCATCTAGTGATTTAAAAGGGTAACTGCAGGCTCCACAGTTACGCAGGAGGAAAGATTAAATACTAATTTTTTGCTGTCTTTGTTTTCTGTTATTCTTTACAGGAACATACTATAGTGAAAAGCAGGAATTGCCTAACTTAAATTTCAGGAGTTTCAATGAGTTTTGACTGGTGAAATCTGGTCAGATTTCTATGTTTTTGGCAAAGATGGAAAGTAAGAGAAAAGGGTTTTGTAAATTTCTGATACCGAGAAAACTGAATAAAAATGTAAGAAAATGGTGAGATAGTCACTACTGTGCTGCTGTCTCACATTGTGGCCATCTTATAATGCAGGCCTTCTAGTAACTATACCTTCTTAGCTGCCAGGGGAACCTGGTTATGCTAAATTTCACACTACAATTGGATCATGTTATAGTCAGTTTCTAGTATATGAAGACAGTCAAGGAGATGAGTAAAATAACTTTACAGTATTAGCATTTTGAAATAAAGCTTCCCTCATCACCACCCTCCTACTGCTAAAAGGGATTGTCCGAAACAAATACTCTCAGATCTTTAATATGTGTGTGTGTGTGTGTGTGTGTGTGTGAGTGTGTGTGTGTGTGTGTGTGTGAGAGAGAGAGAGAGAGAGAGAGAGAGAGAAACTAAATGCATAAGTGCAGTTGCTGGGTTTCAGCTGCCTCAAAGAAATATACCGTCTATCCTTGGTAGATGGGAGACCATACACCGCACTCCTAAAAATCAAGTCCTTCTTATGTGCAGGAAAAGTAAACAGGCTTTGGTGGTCTTCAGGTTTTATCCATTTAGAAATTCCACATGGGTCATTAAACCCCATTGTGAAAGAAAAGGCCAAGAAAGGCCCTTGCATGGTTGAGATACTGGGAGCCTGGGGAGGAGAAGGGGCAAGCTGGGAGTGCAGTTGGGCCCTAGAGTCTTAGAGGCCTGGCCCTTATTGCCATAGAGCTCCCAGAGGTGGCAGACTTCTGAGCAGGGTACCCACAAATGGCTGTGGGCACTGGCTGGCTTCAGAATATCCTGCCCTTGGCTGACACTCTGGAGCCCGCCTGCAGAGACAAGAGCTGTGGAGAGACACTTTTGAGAGCTCCCCACCCCCAAGGAGTGAAGTGCCATTTCAGACGTGGTAAAGTGGATAGAAGGAGCCATGGTGACCATAGTGATGGCTCAGGACCAGACATCTGCCCATGTTCCCAGGACCCATTTAAGCCCTGGGAGTCCAAGGCAATACAGTGTTGCAGGGGAGAGGGCATTGTGGGGAGAAAGCTGGGGAAGGAATCCCAACAATGGGCGACATCAGATACCTCACCAGCAAGCAGGGCTCAAAAACCAATTTAAGTAATAAAAAGAAAACAAAATGTTTTATTGAGCCCAGGTTTCACAGAGCAATTCACCCACCTACTTGCTTATTAACTTCCTAATGCAAAACAGAAATAAGCAGGTATATGACATTTTGATGTAGCTTTTTTTCTGAAAGGGGGATATTTTTCTTCAGTCTAAAACAAACTAAGCTGACAAACTATGTCAGTTATAATGTTATAACTTTTGTGTCAAAACATAACTAACATTATAACTATATATATTAGACTATTCAGTCTAAAACAAACTAACAAAAAAGCTACGCGTTCTTAGCTTTTGTATACATAACAAGTAATGCAATATTTGCAACAGACGTCCTCTCTCGCTCCAAGAGCCTTCCTCCATCCATCAGCCTACCAGGTACTGTAAGGTAGCATGAGGATGACACCCACGCATGCCTATAATGCCCATTGGTTATTAAGAAAAATTTTTGTGTGCCTTTTTATATTTAAGACAACATTGTCAAAATGGCCACAATCAAATATCCTATTTTGGAAGAAAGCCCAGTTCTTAAGTGGCCCAACTATGATCCTAGATAAATGAAAAAGTAGAAGAACATAGTTGTCACAGAGGCCAGATGGAGAGGAAAAGGCAGAAGGAAAAAGAATCTCTCAGAAAAGGCTTGTAGAGCAGTCAGCCTCCTGAATCAAAGACCATTAAAATACCTGTCTAATCCAACACTTCATGTATTTAGTGGGCTTCCCCAATTTTATTCTAAAACTAAATAATATTAATGATTATGATTTTTACTCATTCATATAAAAAGGATTTCAAAGACATTATCCCAGTCTGAGGAGATTTCACGAGCTTTTTCACTAACCATCCCAGTGTTAAATAACCCTTCTCTTTAATCTCTGTTTTATTCCTGGTACTGCACTTTAAACCCGGTCTCCTTCATTTGTATGTATCATTGTACTTACAAGTCTAATAACTTCAACATGGCATTTTTGAACTTTAATGTTATTGCCTAATGTTATTTACTGCCATCTAATTTTTTATCATTAGCAAACTTGTCAGTAATGAGCTTTTTCTCTTTTCTGGATTTAAATTATTCCAGGCAAGGGTATTTTATTAGTTACTAGATCCATGAAACAACATGCTTCTGATTGTTCTCTTTCAGCCAAATCACTGGTGAACTATTAATGGTTCTTAAAGTATCACTTGCAAAAGTATTTTTTAAAATTATAGAAATATAGCATATTCAATTTTTCATTTTGCTATGGAGGATATTTTTATATCAAATAAGAACTCTTAAGGAAAGACAAAATCCATAACTTCTTTATTATGCTAGAATATTTATGCATAGTTTCATTTTTCAGATTCAGTTTTATTTTTCACAGCTTAAAGACATCTAACTTAAAGACACCTTACTCTAAACTCTTATCCATGTGATGGTTTCTAATAGAAATTTCCAAACAGATTAGAGCGCAAATTTTCCAAAGGTTTTAGCATGCTGCTTTTCCAAAGTACTGTGCAGACAAATCTTGGTTCCTCAGAAGTTATTCTGGATTTATTCAACATTCATTCAACCATTCCTTTATTTAAGAATTATGTATTAACTCTATACCATGTGCCAGGTACAACTGTCCTAAGTGATAGGCTTATATAACAGTGGATAAGACAAGCTTTTGCCCTCAAATAGCTTTCAGTCTCATCGGAAAGAAGAGCAAATAAACAGGTAATCACCATATGGGGTTGTTAGTGCCATGATATTATAAGCAAAGGGAGCTCAAAGGAAGGGCAGCTCAACCAGTTTTTCCCAGAGAAAATTCCATCGGTGGGTGACTCCTGTGAGTGAGAAGGATTCGCGTGCAAGTGTGCATGTGCAGCTGGGGAGAGGGAGGGCACAAAGGCATTAGGGCAAGGAACAGGACAAAGTTTTCCAGGTGGTCAAGGTGCTAAATCTTGACACATAATTGTTTTGTTTATCATTTTGGTTTGAAATCTATCTTGAATTTTATTACGAACAAAGAAAAGGAATATTAATCACAATGTAAAGTCTTTGTAACTCATGGGCCATCACATTGTTGGTGTACCCTATGACACAGGGATGCCCTTAAGATCCACTGGGCTTTGCCATACATGTACTAAACGGTCCCAAATTGGCCTTCCTTTGAAATCATGTTTTTTTTAAAATATGATTCTCTCCTTCTCTAATCTGCTATCAGTGTTTTTGCATATAGGAGTCCCTCTTTACCACCACCTCCCCACAACTCCCACCTTTTTTGCTTTTAATAGCTGCAGGCAGGGGAAACAAATAACCAGTCTTATGAAAATCATGCCTAATATAAGAATACATAAGCTCTGAGTGATATTGGAGGAATTATGCTGTGCCTGAACCATATGAGATATGAGATATAATATCTATTTTAGTCATCCAGAGATCACTTTGCTTACCGTACACTGATTTGTTATATTCAAGATAATTAAGGCCAGAAATGCAAGTCCTGGAAAGTCAACAATTTCTAAAAGTTGAAACACTTTCACTGACCTGTCACTCTATAGTTTACATAATAAAGTAAGTTTTGAATCTATATAACTAGCTAGAATAGGCTATTTACAATGCTAGCAGATTGAGAGATTTCTTTAATAACTTTAAGCAGCAGTGGAATTATGAGACCAAATTTGTCCCACTAATTAATTTGCAGAATGCTTACTCAATGTCATTGAACCAAATACTATCATGTAAGCTTCTAAGTCAATAAGGGCAGATGATAAATTACATGAAGTTGTGGAAGACCAGAAGTAAATAGTATAAGTAGCATTCAAGAATCCTAATTCCCTCTCTTGTCCTCCAGCATTTGTTCTCTGAGCTCTTGAAAGTAGTGCCTGTGTTCTTCCCCAGGAAGTTTAGCTTGGAACAATGCATAAAATAGCACAAAAAATAGCTGATGAGCAAGTGTTTATATAGTTTAAAAATTAAAGTCACTGGCAGAAAAAGAGTTTGATGTTTTGTTTCTAAGTTACTTTTAAATTGGTGGTGATCAGGTTCTCTTTTCTTTCCTATTTGGAGGGCCTGACTCCACCAATAAGCTCCATGGACTTAATCATGCACGTATTCAACCCAAATGCCTTTCTGATACCTAGAAATGGAATAAGAAGCATATGGAGGAAAAAGCAGTAACTTAAGTTAGAAACATATGTTTCTCAAAGGAGTTGCCAGAAAAAAAAAAGAATATAAAACTGGCACTCATCTAGCAGCTATCTTAAAAAAAATTTTTTTTAAGTAGATTGCAGAGTGTACTGGAAGAAGAGATATGTAGGCAGGCATCCTTTTTGAAATCTGAGATCATGCACGTTGAAGATGACAAAAAGAATATTTTTATCGATATTTTTCTATTATCCTCAAATGAGCTATATCATAGCAGATGTGTTACATTTTAGCATCTAGACCATTATTTTTATTACAGTAATGCACTGAAAGCACTATCATGGCAAGATTTTTAATAATTTCCGGTGGTCAAAAATTATATCTAGGATATATAAGAGCTCCTTCTTATTGTGGTTTTGATTTGCATTTCTCTGATGGCCAGTGATGATGAGCATTTTTTCATGTGTGTTTTCACTGCATAAATGTCTTCTTTTGAGAAGTGTCTGTTCATATCCTTCGCCCACTTTTTGATGGGGTTGTTTGTTTTTTTCTTGTAAATTTGTTTGAGTTCATTGTAGATTCTGGATATTAGCCCTTTGTCAGATGAGTAGGTTGCAAAAATTTTCTCCCATTCTGTAGGTTGCCTGTTCACTCCGATGGTAGTTTCTTTGGCTGTGCAGAAGCTCCTGAGTTTAATTAGATCCCATTTGTCTATTTTGGCTTTTGTTGCCATTGCTTTTGGTGTTTTAGACATGAAGTCTTTGCCCATGCCTATGTCCTGAATGGTATTGCCTAGGTTTTCTTCAAGGGTTTTTATGGTTTTAGGTCTAACATTTAAGTCTTTAATCCATCTTGAATTAATTTTTGTATAAGGTGTAAGGAAGGGATCCAGTTTCAGCTTTCTACATATGGCTAGCCAGTTTTCCCAGCACCATTTATTAAATAGGGAATCATTTCCCCATTTCTTGTTTTTGTCAGGTTTATCAAAGATCAGATGGTTGTAGATATGCAGCATTATTTCTGAGGGCTCTGTTCTGTTCCATTGGTCTATATCTCTGTTTTGGTACCAGTACCATGCTGTTTGGTTACTGTAGCCTTGTAGTATAGTTTGAAGTCAGGTAGCATGATGCCCCCAGCTTTGTTCTTTTGGCTTAGGATTGACTTGGCAATGCGGGCTCCTTTTTGGTTCCATATGAACTTTAAAGTAGCTTTTTCCAATTCTGTGAAGAAAGTCATTGGCAGCTTGATGGGGATGGCATTGAATCTATAAATTACCTTGGGTAGTATGGCCATTTTCATGATACTGATTCTTCCTACCCATGAACATGGAATGTTCTTCCATTTGTTTGTATCCCTCTTTTATCTCATTGAGCAGTGGTTTGTAGTTCTCCTTGAAGAGGTCCTTCACGTCCCTTGTAAGTTGGATTCCTAGGTATTTTATTCTCTTTGAAGCAATTGTGAATGGGAATTCACTCATGATTTGGCTCTCTGTTTGTCTATTATTGGAGTATAAGAATGCTCGTGATTTTTGCACATTGATTTTGTATCCTGAGACTTTGCTGAAATTGCATATCAGCTTAAGGAGATTTTGGGCTGAGACGATGGGGTTTTCTAGATATACAATCATATCACCTGCAAACAGGGACAATTTGACTTCCTCTTTTCCTAATTGAATACCCTTTATTTCCTTCTCCTGCCTGATTGCCCTGGCCAGAACTTCCAACTGGCCATCAGATAAATGCAAATCAAAACCATAAAGAGATACCATCTCACACCAGTTAGAATGGCGATCATTAAAAAGTCAGGAAACAACAGGTGCTGGAGAGGATGTGGAGAAATAGGAACACTTTTACACTGTTGGTGGGACTGTAAACTAGTTCAACCATTGTGGAAGTCAGTGTGGCAATTCCTCAGGGATCTAGAACTAGAAATACCATTTGACCCAGCAATCCCATTACTGGGTATATACCCAAAGGATTATAAATCATGCTGCTATAAAGACACATGCACACATATGTTTAGTGCGGCACTATTCACAATAGCAAAGACTTGGAACCAAGCCAAATGTCCAACAATGATAGACTGGATCAAGAAAATGTGGCACATATACACCATGGAATACTATGCAGCCATAAAAAATGATGAGTTCATGTCCTTTGTAGGGACACAGATGAAGCTGGAAACCATCATTCTCAGCAAACTATCGCAAGGACAGAAAACCAAACACTGTATGTTCTCACTCATAGGTGGGAATTGAACAATGAGAATACATGGACACAGGAAAGGGAACGTCACACACCGGGACCTGTTGTGGGGTGGGGGGAGGGGGGAGGTATAGCATTAGGAGATATACCTAATGTTAAATGAGGAGTTAATGGGTGCAGCACACCAACATGGCACATGTATACATATGTAACTAACCTGCACGTTGTGCACATGTACCCTAAAACTTAAAGTATAATAAAAAAAAGAACTCCTTCAACTCAATACTAAGAAGTCAAATAACACAGTAAAAAAAATCAAAGATTTGAACAGATGCTTCACAAAAATACATGTATGAATGGCCACCAAGCATATTAGTAGTCACCAAAGAAATGAAAAATAAAACACAATGATATACCAATACACACCTATTAGAATGACTAAAATTAAAAAGAATGTCTACGCCAAGTGTTGGCAAAGATGTGGAAGAACTTGAAATTTCATACACTACTGGTAGGAATAAGAAAAAAATGATACAACCATTTTGGAAAACAGTTTGTCAGTTTGTTATAAAGCTAAACATATACTTAACATACAATCTAGCAATCCCACTCCTATTCACCCAAGAAAAATGAAAACATATTTCTACTCAGATGTACATATTTGAGTACTCAAAGATATGTATATCTTTGATTAATGGTAGTCAAAAACTGGAAATTAATGGTAGTCAGAAAACTGGAAACAACTCAAATGTCCATCAGTATCTGAATGAATACACGAATTGTAGTATATTCAATGGAATACTAGTCAGAAATGAAAAGGAATGAACTACTGACATATAAAACGACATGGATGAATCTCAAAAACATTATGCTGAATCCCCCAAAAAGCCAGATATAAGAGTACATATTATACGATCTCATTAATATGAAATTCTAGAGAAGACAAATTTACATCTATAATGACAGAGGGCAGTGATTGCCTGGGGCCAAGGATCAGGGTAGAGAATAACTGGGAAGGGGCACAAGAAACATTTTGGAGTAATTGAAGTCTAGATCTTGATAGTGGTGGTATTTATACAGCTATATACATTTATCAAAACTCACTGAAATGTACTTAAAATGGGTTTGTTTTACTGTGGATAAATTATGCCTCAATAAAGTGATTTTAAAAAGTAGTTTCATGCTAACAAAACTAAAAAATATAGGTGAAATCAGATTTTCTTCGACCTCTGACATCAGGGTTCACTGTCTACACCAAGGTGGGCTAGATTTCCTGCTTGTTGTCCAGAATACAGAATTTACCTATTCTGTGACCTCATAATTTAACTTTTTGTGCATTATCTCCTTCAAAACCCATTAATCCAACTCTTCTACCTGTTGGGGGGCCTAAAACTCTTTGAGCTATTACTTGAGCCTCTGTTCTTCTTCCTTTTAATCATGTCTCCAGGAACACCTCATCTATTTTCAAAAATTCATATACCATCTTCATGGATTTTGTCCACAGGGCATCCCATCTATCCCATGATAACCTGTTTCATATTCATCTTACCCCATCACAGTATGTAATGCCACCAAATGAACAACTCAAAGAGGTTATCAAATGTAACTTTTACAAAAGAAAGCTTAGGGTTATCTACATCATTCTTCATCACTTCCTACAGCCATTCTGTTTCCAAAGTCTCCCCCTTTCTTCACTGGAGGACCTCCTACTACACTGTAAAATCTTTGGGGAAGGGATCATTTATTTTTCAGCATTTTAATCCTCACAGTGACTATAGCAATGCTCTAAACTTCATAATTTCTTAATAACATCAAGTAAATTAGTACATACATAAAACTATCAATGAATCTGCTATAATTATCGCTTCTTCATCAATTTCTACATGACACACTTCAATCTGAGCCCATAACTCTTTTGCATGGATATTCACACTCTAATAGAAGGTCTTAGGGGATCCAGATAAATCAATTGCTAGAATTGGTGGCATTTCAGACCTTAGTAAAAGACAGGAAGACCTCTTAATATCTTTATCCCTGCTTTTAAGGGTTTGCTCTCCCAATACAGAATCCTGTTAACAGAGGGCAGGTCCATGGTTGTATGAAGAGTACACACCCTGGTAGAGGCTCTACTCTGCAGATGCCATGATTTATTCCTCTGTGATTAACAGGCAGAGTTAGATGTGATAATATACGGGGAAGCCCTTTGTAAATGCAACACCAACAGATATAAAAGATTATTTCCTAACCTATAGTAGGTAGGGAGGCATGGATTTGCTCAGAGATGGCAAATAGATTCCCCCTTGTATAATAATTTGCCTGAAGTACAGCCTTAGGGAAAGCTCACAGAAAGGTTTTCACTGGGCCCAGGACGGAGCTTGCAGATTACATACCCCACATGATGTCTAAATCCCCATTCAGCTTTCAGGCATGATTCTAACCTCATCAAAACCACACATTTTATGGCTTTGCACATACCATTATCCACATTATTCAGGTCTTCCCAAGCCTTCTAAATCCTAACTCTCCTTTCTCACTACTTCTGATGTAACACAGATTAATCTCACAAATTGAGAAGCCTTTTCTACCAGCTTCTCTTGTTTTCTCTCTTGAATGCAGAGATACAAACTACTCTCAGGGTTCAACACTCCTCCTCCATCACTCCGAGAAGCAGATGAATTGGCATTAGTATGGAACCAATGCCAAATGGTTTACATGTTAGGAAGTGGTACAGTTAAATTTCTTGGATCCACTCTGTGTGCTCCTTTTGGATTCCTCTATCTGCATCACTAGAAGTTACTGGTCCTCCTTTGAATTGCCTACTCCCATATGTGAAAAGGCTGTGTCTTGCTTGGCAGGACTCCTGTCTTGTGAGGGTCTAGGCTAGAAGGCAATGCTAGTACACTCTCTTTCTCTCCCCCTGGGGTTTGTTTTTCTCATTGCATAGGAATGGCAGGAATCCAAGGATAAAAATTAGACCTCAGTAAAAGGAGCCCAGGCAGACTTCTTTTAGTCTAAGTCATAGGCCAGAAGGATAAAGGGAATACTCACTCACAAGTGGTTGAGGCCAACCCACTAGACCTATAGCTTCCATGGAAGGCTCTGGGGTCAAAGCCCAGCACAAGGAAGAAGGTGCATTTGCTAAGAAGGTCTGCTCTGCAGAACTCTCTGCAGAACCTATGGCAGTGCTAGACAGCTATGGTTGAGGATTGGTGACCTGTCTGGCTACCCCTCAAAATCTCCATCAGAGATACATAACATACAACCTCACCCTCAATCTCATTACTCTGACAGTGACATATACTTCTACCAAGAACACATGTAAGAACATTCACCTTTATTCAGATTTCTTACTTATATTCTGCCAAACGTAAGAGATCCAAAGGATGAGACTATTAATATCAAAATAGTACACCTGCGGTAGGAAAATACCAATGAAAATCCCAGTTATTTATGAAGCTATGCATATCCCTGATACCCAAAGCATCACACATGAAAACTAACTCCTTCCTCATTACAGGTGACTGGATGCTAACCTATCTTGTTTGGTCAAGCTCTTTAATCTCCAAATGAGGTACAAAAGTACCATAATGTTAAAGTAATTTATACAATAAGATAAGGTCAAACTTCAGTTCCTGAATCCCCGAGTTCAAGAAATATCTTGGATTTCCAAAGAAATTGTTTACCATGGTGCATATCATCTTGATTACCTGTGGCAGCCTGCAATAAAGGTGCAAAATTTAAAAATTTCAATTTCTCTCAATAAACAAAAGCACAACAACTAAAAGAAACACTTAATAAGAACTTATTTACCAAATGTAATTGTTAGGAAACCTTTTAAAGACATATACACAAAAATAAATAAATTAGATTCAGGAAATAACTGGGTTTAAAATGGAAAAGAAAATAAAAGCCATGGAATTAAACTGAAAGCTTGAAAGTTTCAGGCTCCGGCCAGGCGCGATAGCTCACGCCTGTAATCCCAACACTTTGGGAGGCCGAGGTGGGCTGATCACTTGAGGCCAGAAGTTCACTTGAGGCTGGTCAACATGGCAAAACCCCGTCTCTACTAAAAATACAAAAATTAGCCAGGTGTGGTGGCGCATGCCTTAATCCCAGCTACTGGGGAGGCTGAGGCATGACAATCACCGGAACCTGGGAGGCGGAGGTTGCAGTGAGCCAAGATTGTGCCAGTGCACTCCAGACTGGGTGACCAGTGAGACTCTGTCAAAAAGGGGAGGGGAGGGGAGGGGAAGGGGAAGGGAACGGGGAAGGGGAAAGGGAAGGGGAAGGGGAAGGGGAAAGGGGAAGGGGAAAGGAAAGGGGAAGGGGAAAGGAAAGGGGAAGGGGAAAGGGACAGGGAAGGGGAAGGGGAAGGGGAAGGGGACAGGGAGGGAAAGAAAGTTTCAAGCGCTGAATATATTTCAAGATTGAGAAGTCATCATAGTAAGCATTATTGTTCTTCTGACATGCTTAAACAGAACAGCCAGACCCTTCTTTCACTTGTGACTTCAAAGAGTAAATAGTTAATATTCATGACAAGACCTATCATGACAAGAAATAAATACTCCAGCCACAGCCCCTTCCTTCCTCCCAGGATTACGGGGTATTAACTAGGTCAGTACATCACCTTCACATTTTTCAGAAACCCAGAGCTACTTCTACAAACTCTGAAGACTCCCTCAACCCACCCACATGGGCAGAATTTAAAGCTCCTGGGGGAAAAAGAAAGGACTAATTTACAAGTTGCTATAAACATAGTTCTTAATGTCGCATTGTTCTAAAATCTTCTAAAAACTCCCCGACTCCTTGGCTTCTATGACAACTGCAGTTCCCTGATTTTCCTCTTAGTTCTTTGATTTCTTCTTCTCAGTCTTTTTAAATGGACTTTTGTCCAACCTCTCTGTAGGCAGTTCTCTGTTTGGTCCTTTTTTCACGCTAAACTCCCTCCTTAAGAGAGGGCTCGCTTACTTTCATGGCTTTAAAAATATCTTCAGGCTTATGTTCCCAGATTTCTATTCTGAACCCAGGCAACTCCTGAGCTCTAGACAAAATTTCCAGTGGATCTAAATGGACATCTACATTAGACCAGTGCTAATACCTCAAACTTAATAAGTCTAAAATCGAATTTGTTAACTTCCTTCCAGAGCCGGCTCTTTCTTTTCTACTGTCTCTTAGGTAACAGCTTCACCTTCTACCAATTACTCCAAACAGAAATCAAGAAACCCCCAAGTCTATTATCAGCACTTATGATGTCTTATATCTATGTTCTCCATTTCCTTCCCATGCCATGGCCTTCAGGCAAATCCTCTTCCTCCTTCATGCAAATTCCTCCTCATTCCTCCTACACTATCACCAAAAGCCTCTCTGCCCCATTCTCTTCCATCTTGAGCTGATCCCTTACCTTACCATTATTTATCTCCCCTTTACAAAAACGTTTCTAAGGTCTATGTAGAAAACATAAAATTATTAGCAAAGCACTCAGGACCTTGACAATTTAGCCCTGTTCTCTCTTGGCAACCTAATCTTCTACCATGTTTCTGAACACCCTTCACTCTTGCCATTGCTTGTATATGTTGTTCACCAAGGTTCGGTCTTGAATAATTCTTACCCCACCTTCATATTTGTATTTTTATTGAGTTGTGCCTTATTCATGCCATTCCCTAAGCCCAAAATGAATTCTCCTCTCCTCTACCATAATTGTATTCACCACTCAAGGTTTAGCTCAAACACTAGCTTCTCTGAAATCACTCTGTGCACTCCTATACTATTACCTGTCCCTGTAAGACAGTATTTATGGGACACTACTCATCATTACAGTTAGTTGTTTATGCACTTAAATACCCTACTTGGTGGTAAACTGTTTTAGAGCAAGGACTCTGTCTTGGTAATCACCATACGCCTACACTATTTATCTCTGTGTGTTCATATTAAGTGGAAGGTTTCCATAAATATTTGGTGAAAAAATCTCATCAGTCATCTTTGCTTCTATGTTATAGTATCTGTTTCTAAATGTAAGATACACTTTAAAAAAAAAGAAAGTAGTAATAAGCAGACTACATATAGTGTCAACTTCTCTCAAGTAGACTTTTTCTCCAAGTTTATGAGTATTTATAAAACAAGGCTCCAGGAAACTGATAAACAACTATCCAGCAAAAATTATTTGTTTGTGTGAACAACACTGTATTTATTTTTATAGTTCCAAATGTAACGAGGATGCATATTCCTTCTTGGTAGGCCATTTTAAAGTCAAACTTCCACAGTAAAAGCACTCTTACACCATGCTTGTGATCATAAATAAAACATAATATAAATATAGCCTACTACTTAAAAAAGAAAACCAACAACAAAGTTTCTTGAAGACTTGATTGTAACCATTATGGGGCCATTTGAGTAGAAAGACTAACCAAAACTCAAAACTTTTACAGTTAGACAGTGGATACATTCAAATAGGCTAATAGCCAAACACAGACAATACAAAGAATTAAAAAAACTTCTTTCTTTGCTGAATATTCTCCTTTTGCCCCTTCAGAATCATTCTCTCCCTTTCTCTTCTCTGCTGGGCTCTGCCCTGAGAGGCTGACCTGCACAGCCTGCATCAACTGGGCTCACTTACCTTCTGGATTCTCGTAGGTTTGGCCAAGGGGAGGCAAGAGATCAGAGGGTAAGAGGAGAGCAAAGTTGGGGTATTCATCTCCTTGGATTCTTCCCTGACAGACCACAAGCAGCGGCTGCATTCCTGCTCCAGCTGGGCATTCCCTCCGTCATATGTTCAGCTCCTGCTAGTTTCCAGGAACATGATTCCCTCCTCTTGCCCTTACATGCTTGGGGTAGTGATAGTTTCCCACTGTTGCTAGCCCAGGAACACTTTATCATCCCTTTTTGATTATCCTTAACTCTGCCACGCTTTAGTATTCATTAAACATAGTGACAATACTTAAAAAGGAATTTGGCTAGATAGTTTATGATAAAATCTCAGCAATTAAAAGCAAAACACTTATATATACAAGAGGGAAAACACTATATTGCCAAGAGAAATGAAGAAGTACACAGAAAATAAAAAATAAACTTGAGAGAAAAAGAAAAATGTATGCACATAAATTTTTAAAAATAATGTTATGATAAATTCCTGAACATAAATTGCATAGTTATTCTTAGTTTTGGATGTGATTTGTTTTAACTACTTTCAAAAAGCTAGGTAGCTTCAATGAACAGAAAATACGTAGACCAGAATTAATATTGATAAGAAAGTTTTCTTTAATCTTCATCCTAAACTATTTATTTCTCACTATCTATATTTTTACAAAGCCCTGCTACTGTTCTACTCTTGTAGTCTGAGATATTATCTCAAACTTGTATTTCTACTGCCTTCCATATTCCATGCCTTCCATGTTCCAGGGAGCTCTGCTTTTGTTGCTTTAAAGTATGTATCATATTCTGCTTCTAAAACACATATAATGGTAAGCAGCCCCTAAAATAGTCCCCAATAATCTGAGCCCCTGCTATTTATGTAATTGCTTCCTTGCATATGGGCTGGACCAAGTGACTTGCCTCTAACAAATAAAGCATGGATAAAGTGATTATTCTGGAGTTATAAAAAGACTATGGCTTCCATCTTAAGTACTCTGTCTTGCTCTCACATTTGCTTGTTCTAAAGGAAATCAGCTGCCATGTTGTAAGCTGCTCTGTGGAAGCTTATGTGGCAAGGAACCAAGGGAGGCCCCCAGCCAACAAACAGTGAGAAATTCAGGCTCTCTGTCCAATATCCCACAAGGAATTAAATTTTTTCTGCCAACAACCACATGAGTGAGCTTGAAAGTGAATCCACCCCATCAAACCTTCAGATGAGCATTCAGCCATAGCCACCATCCTGACTGTAACTTCATCAGAGCTATTGAGTCAGAAGCACCCAGGTAAATTGTGCCTGGGTTCTTTTCTTTTCTTTTCTTTTCTTTTCTTTATGAGACAGAGTCTCACTCTGTTGTCAGGCTGGAGTGCAGTGGCATGATCTTGGCTCACTGCAACCGCCGCCTCCCAGGTTCAAGCAATTCTCCTGCCTCAGCCTCCTGAGTAGCTGGGACTACAGGCATGTGCCATCACACCCAGCTAATTTTTGTATTTTTAGTAGAGATGGGGTTTCATGATGTTGGCCAGGATGGTCTCCATCTCTTGACCTCGTGATCCACCCACCTTGGCCTCCCAAAATGCTGGGATTACAGGCGTGAGCCACTGCACCTGGCCTGCCTGGGTCCTTAATCCACAACAATTATTATACAAATATTTGCTGTTTTAAGCTGCTAATTTTTAGGGTATGTTGTTATGCAGCAATAGATAACCTAATAGACATACTGATCCAGACACCTCACCTTGTTTTTTAAAATGAACACTCCTATAGAAATACAATTTGTAGAATCCAATAGAAAAGCACCGAGGGAAAAATATAAAATTTTAAAGAATCAGAACACATGGTCTTTCCTAAAAAAATAATAATAATAATGTTAAGAAAGGGCAGGAAATAGAAAGAAAGAAAACTAGTAAAAATTAGAAATTGTTCAATGAATAGAAGCCCAAAAGGAAGCAATAGAAATGAAAGGCTAAAACTGATGGATAAAGGAAAACTAGGGCTAAGATTTTAAAAGGTTTAAATGAGCAATTAAAATGTAAAGCATTCAAATAAAAAGAAAAAAGTCTTAGAAAAAAATGTGATTTTTAAAAAAATGTTTTGTCTAGTTCTACTTTTCCCATCAAAAATCAAATGAGAATAGGGTCAACCAATACTAGAATTTTAAGAACAGAAAACTGTGTTAAACTAAGGAAGGGAAAGAACTAATGAAAGATAACATAAAAAGCTAGATGTATTTCAATCTGTAGATTTTGATGACTTCCTTTTGGTATACTAAAATAAACTGCATCTGTCTCTCGAAAATCACTTGTTATAATCGCTTAAAACAAGGCACTTCCAATGTATATAAAGTATCAGTATATTATGATTATGATTCTGATTACAAGTATTAAACAAAGATAGTCCTAGACCTAAAACTTACTGATCTAATATAAGCTTAACTTTAATGATGGGGCTATCACCAAAAAAACTAGTTAAATAAAGTATATATCTCAGAACTATTAGACGGGCATTTGAAAGACTGGAAAGCTAATATTCAGAGCTTATCAATAAATCAGTGTCAACCTGTAAGAATATAATGTTCCAAGATGAACAAATTCAGGTTAGAGTATAATGAGATTAAGAATTACCATTGGCAAAATATGCTCTCTATAATTAGATAGTGGTATCAAAGTAGGGCCACAATGGGAAGAACATTTATTCAGAGAGACACTTATATATTGGAACTGGTAGGGAAATGCAAAAATAAATTTCGTATAATAAAGATATATGAGGTTGGATTAGCAAATCATACAGTCAAAACTACCCTTAACATTCCTTAGAAAAGTTCATGGAAACAAAGATTGTAACATCGCTCAATGAGTCCAACTCAGCCAGTCCCTCCTCCAGTACTAGAGCAGATCTTTATTTTTCTGCTGTGAACCAAATGAATAAGTTGGATCATATTTTATAAAATCATTTATCTTTCAACACCAAAATCACACCCAGCATGGCAAGAGGCTCACAACATGAGACACACAAGGCAACCAATATAACTGAGGAACAGCAGGTTCACATCTCACATCTCAGGCTGGCTCCAGGAATAGCATAGGGAGCCACTCATATCGTGAAAGATAGATTCTCATATTGTGAAAGATAATTTCATTTTCTCTCTCCCTCTCTCTCTCTCTATCTCTCCTTCCTTCACTCCCTCCCTCTCTCTTTCTCTCTCTCCCTCTTCCCCCCATAATATAATGTGCCTATGATAATAAGACACTGCAATTGAACATGATAGAAGATCTAGTTATAAGTGCAGCTATCAATAATGTAGCACTGATACCTTAACAAGGCAAGGTCAATAAGAATTTGGCCCACCTGCTTGAGTTCATCTTCCCAATACAAGAGTCTACAGCCATACTCTTTACCATCTGTTCCTCTTCCACACTTGGACATTCAAATTAGAAAACTTGAGAAATACAGAAACATATACAGCAATCAATCAAAACCAACCATAATCCCTCTGTCCAAAAATAGTTACTGTAAAGTTTTTGGTGTATTTTCTTCCAGTCTTTTTCAATGCATATAAAGATTATACTAAGTAATATTTTACAGTCATGTCCTCTACCTAACAAATTGAAAGAACATCATATATGCTTTTAAAAGTACTTAACAGACCCATAATATTTTATTATATGGATGAACCATAATTAAACAGTACATATTATCTAGAGTAAAATCGCAAAACCTGCAGGGGAGTGGAGCTTTAGCCTTGGTTCACGTAGAAAACTTATTTTACTTATGCATTGCTTCTGAAGAGGGTTTTAGAAATACCTTTATAAAACAACAAAGCTACCTGACTCATTATAATCATGGTAGAGGTTCATTCCCCTGCTTGACATCAACCAATGCTTATTCAGAGTAGTTTCATCCAAGACAATTTTTCTCTTCCCTTCAACTCAAGGCAAAAATGGAAACAAGGTCCTGCAGATTAGATGGATAAATGGATGGAAGGATGAAGAGATGGACAGAATTTTACCAAGATAAATATAGGTATCAATATAAATAAATACAATACAAAAGCATAAATATATAATTTACAGTATTATATATCTATCCATAATTCCTAATACATTATCATTTCCCTTTGACTTGTCTCTTCCATTGGAATATAGACGCCTAGAGAACAAGTGGTATAACTTATCCACCTTTATCCCTCTCCCTTTCCCCCACCTCCATGTGTGCACACACACATACCTAGCACAGTGCCTGGTATGTGGTAGATCCTCAAGAGATGTTTATGGAATAAAATAATAATAATTGAAGTAATAGAAAATACCATCTTTAAAAATAATAGCTACCATTTATTAAATATTTTGATGGTATATTTTATATGTAAACTTGGTAAGGCTACGGTGATCAGTTGTTTTGGTCAAATATTAGTCTAGATGTTGCTTTTAAGGTATTTTGAGAATGTGATCAATATCACAATCAGATGATTTTAAGTAAAAGTTATTACTTTCCATAATATGGGTGAGTCTTATCCATCAGTTGGAGACATTAACAGCAAAAATTGAGTTTTCCTAGGGAAGAAGGAATTCTTACTCAAGACTGTAACAAAGAAATCCCACTTGAATTTCCAGCCTGCTGGCCTGCCCCACAGAATTTGATCTGCCAGCTCCTGCAATCACATAAGCCAATTCCTTAGAATAAGTCTCTTAATACACACACACACACACACACACACACACACACAAACATACACACATACCACACACACACACACACACACACACACACTATTGCTTCTATTTCTTTGGACAACCCTGACTGACACAGCTACTATTCCACACCTAACCTTGGGCAATGATTTCGTATCACTGTCTCTACAACAATCTAACAAGGTGTGTATTACTATCCACCTTTTTAAAGATATGTACCTTATCTAAGGTCCCACAAGTCAGTTTATAGGTAGCAGGGCTGGGTTCAAACTTGTCTGTTTCCAGAATCTGTGCCCTTTCTTTCTTTTCAGAGTAAATGATATGTGATCTAAATCCTCTCAATTCTGTAACTTTGCAGATTCCAGCACTCAGTGTTAGTCGAGCTAGATAAACATCTTAATGGGTGTATGTATCAAGGGACACGGTAGAAAGGCATGTCCACAACTAACAAAGCAGATATAAAAAGAAATTTGTGTCTGATGGTTGAATCTAAAAATGTTGGAAAGAAAACAAAATATACAGAAAATTAATAAGACTGTTTTTCAAAAAAACAGTTTGAATGGGAAGTGGGTCCAGAAATTCAGTCGATGTAGAAAAACACTGGCCTTGTTTTGACAATAACAACAAAAATGAAAAAGTAAAATAGGTGTCATACATAAGTACAGCTCATATGTATGTTAAAACAATACCTTTAAAGCTCTCTTGTAAACCATTTCTCTAGAGTCTACAGAATGTGAAGAAAAATGTTATCTTGATAACATCTCTGCAAAGCTGCCTGCCCATTTCTTCTCCACCTGTGTTCCTTACTCTGAATTTTCTGTGAGAGTAACAGGGAATGACATAAGATGATTTCTAAATGTGAAACAAGAGGATTGGGTTCCTTTAGATGAAAATGAATTTTACTCTACTCTTTAGGGATACCAATGTGCCCACCATTTCCAATGACTATGTTTCTGCTATATATTCATAGCAGATAGTTTCCCAATTTTAGGGCTGTGGAACTATTACAAGAGGCTCTGAAAATTCATATGTAGAAGTGGGCATTGTAATCAGACTCAATAAATTAAAACATACGTACACACACACAAACAGAAAAATGCTTAATTTTTCAAATGGATAGGTATGGTTGTGAATGAACAGAGCCAAGCACATTTTATGCATTTCTATTTTAAAGATTCAGAATTGGCCCTACACATTTACCTCCCATCCTTCTCAAAAATCCTATGGAAATAACAAAAATAATTATAAAAAGAAATATAGCATTGAAAAATTAGGAAACCATAAATCAGAAATTTAAAAGGATTTTTTTGACAAAATGAACAAATGAGACCAACTTACGCAAAAACAAATAATGCAAAGCTGCCTGGCACCCAAAACTAGCACAGAAGAGATTTTCCACACCCTATGAGGAAAGATAAACAGTGTTTCCCAAAAGCTTCTCAATAATTGGTCTGATCAGAATTCTAAGAAAAAAGAATGAGGATGTAAAATACTAGACCCAAACATGACAAAAGGCATTTTGCCTATCCCCACAGACATCAACAAGTATGTACCAAGGAGCTACATCATATGAGGCATATTCAAGCGCTTGAGATAAGGTGACCTATGCGCAGGGTCCTGAAGTAAGTGGGGGAGGAAGCCGTGTAGAAATCTGGGGGAAGGCATTCAGATAGAAGAAACAGCATGTGTGAAGACATTTAAATAAACACTTGCTGTGAGGGAAGAATAGCAAGTAGACCAATATGACTGGGTGAGGAGGAGAATTTTAGGGGAAGATGAGTTTAGAGTGTGAGGTCGATGCAGATCCTGTAGACCCTTATAAAAACATGAACCTTTGAAGAAATGGATGCTGACTGGCTGCTGTGTCAGAGAATGGGGTGTGGAGGGTCAAAGATGGAAGTAGAGAAACCAACTAGGAGGCTATGTTATAATAGTAATAGATGGATAATAATATTTAGGAAAGTTCAGGTTTGGGTGGGGAGACCAGGACTTCATTTTGGAGCATGTTAAGTCTCAGATATAAAGTATACAATGGGAAACATGCAGTCACAGGAGAGGTCTGAGCTAAAGATGTAAACTTTGGATTTATACCGATGACATGCAAAGCCACGAACCTAGATGGAATCACCTAGAGAACACAAGTAAACAGAAGAAAAGAGAGTTGAGGAACGAGCCCTGGGATAGCCTAACATTAAGAAACTGGGGAGATGAACAAAAGCAAGTCAAGAAATAGTGTCCATTGAGCTAAAAGAACCAAAAGAAACTGGTATCTTAAAAGCCAAATGAAGACAAGAAAGTAATCATTTGCCAGTTGCTACTGAGAGCTTAAGAAAGGTGAGGACAAAGAACTGATCATTTAGATTTAGCAATATGCAGGTCACTGATGACACAGTATCATCATACTGTTCACCCATTTACATTTTCTGGAAAAATTACTTGAAATACTGCGATGAAATGAGAAATTAACTCAAACAAAAACTCAAGAAAGGAGTGTATAGCAGGCAAGAAATGGTAGTGAACAATGAACTCAGTAAAACTCAAAGTTAAATACATGTAATTATTATAATGTGGCTATAAATATAGCCACATTATAATATTTTTAAGAGACAAAACGTATAGGTAAAGTACACCTATATAGATAATGATGTGGAAATAAAATCTCATATTATTTCCATAAAACACTTGAAGCACTGAAGGAAGGGGAATAAAAAGGATAAATCAAAGCATGTTAAATATGTTTTCTTGTTCGGTTGGAGCCCATGGATATTTTCATTTTTAATATTGATAAAGTATGTAGGTATTGATTAAAAGGCTGCTGCTAGTAGGAAAGAAAATATAGTTTTAAAGCATTTTTAAAAAATCAATAAAGTCAAAGAAAGAAAAGGAGGCTAAAAGAAAACATACCAAAAAAGCATCAGAAAACACAAAATAAAATGTCAGGAATAAAATCAATCATATGAGCAATCAAAATAAATGTTTGTTGGTAAAATTGTTTAAAAGACCATCTGATGGAGTAGAAACCTGTTAATATAAAAGACAACTCTAAAGAAAAATGTGGGCAACAATTTATCTGTTATATAAACTGAATTCGCTCTAACAATATTCATAACAGAGTGAATTTAAAGCAAAAAAAATACAGCAAAGATGGATATTTTATATTGATAATAGGTATAATCCAAGAAGACATAATAATCACAAAGTTATATATACCAAAACACACATCATCAATTACATGAAGTAAAAACCAAGAATATGAGAAAAAGCCTTTGAACCCAAAATACAAGTAGGAGATTCTTGTGTGATAATTTGTTAGCTCATCAGACAATGAAAAAATATGTGAAGATTCAAATAATCTAATAAACAAGTTTCTACCTTCACACTCACTCTTTAGAAAATTCATCTACATTTAAATATTCACTTCAAATATCCATGAAACATTTATAAAAATCAGTCATTTCACAGGCCACATAGAAAACCTTAATAAATTCATAAACTAATGACTCAGTTATTTTCTCCAACCCAAAGGCAGTACAAATAAAAATAACTTATTAAATAACACAAAACTAACAAATTAAAGATTCTGACAACTATTAAATAAGTCATGAGCCAATGAGAAAATTAAAACTAAAGTTACTAATTACTTGAAATTACAACAAAAACACTATACATCCAAACCTAAGTGAAGTGACCAAAGCTGTACTTACTCAAGGGAAAACTAGTTTCTCTGCCTGAAATGTGTTTTCTTTCATTCTTTGTATTTTAAAATCCAATTCATTGGCAAAACCATTCTGTGCCTTCTATTTGGAATTAATCTTCCTTACCCCTGTACTTCCCCAACATCTTTTCAAAATCACTTCATTTCACATTTATTCTGCTTGGCTTTACAGACACTTGAGTCCAAGTCCATCTCAACCCAGTGGACTTTTCAGCTATCAGAGTGAACAGGCCTGCTTTAACACTTCTGTATCACCTCAGGGCACAGCACTGTTAAAGTCACTGTTCTCTAATCGTAAGAGCATAGGTTTGGAAGATCAGTTAGATCTCAGTTAGAATTTTAGCCCTGCCATTTTCTACCTGTGTGATCTGGGGCAAGCTGCTGAATCCTCCATCCCTCCTTTTTCATTAGTGGGGCTACTATCATCTATTCAGTAGGTTTACATAATAAAACACCCAGCACAGTATCTGGAACATAGCTAGACAAAGGAAAGCTATTATGAACACTGGAACGTTAGATGAGTAAAGAAAAAAACCTAAGACATAGGTGAGTAGCAGAAAGCCATGGATTTGGGAGGCAAACTGACCTAACGAATCCTGGTTCTGCTAGCTACTTGGCAATACTTATAATCTTGAGCATGTTAACTTAATGTCTCTGAGTCTCCTTCTCCACATCTGTAATTCTGTAACGTTGCTATGAAGATTAGAAATTGGGAACATAAAACGTTGAGCAGGGAGCCTGACACACATTAAGTGTTCATAAGTGGCACCTACTATTGTCACTCACACATTGCCCCAGTGATAGGTCTTCATGAATGTCTGCTGAATTGAATTAGAACTTTATCGTCAGAATCTCACTTGGTTCACCTGGTCCCCTAGAAGGGCCAGAACTGACGGCAAGTTATCGACTTGGTGAGGCAAGTCCTCAAGAAGCCCCAACATGTGCCTGTGGTTTGGGGAGGTCAGAGCAATTGAGGCCTCACAATTAAAAAGCAATCTTATGTGAGGTTATCTTGTTGGATAACTTGTTAGGAATCCTTTTCATGAAGTTAAATCATTAAAATTTGACACCAGAGCAGTCTCTGAGAGGGCCCTAAGCAGGTCTCACTTCTCATTAATATAAATTAAATTCCTCAGGAGACGCTGAGAGTCTCCCCACCTGACAGTGTTGACATTTATTCAATTTCCCTCTGACCTTTCTGGACTTAAGAAAGGCCTCCAAATAGTTATGAATAAGCTATTATTTTGGTTTTTACTTCACAATTATCTTTGAGAGTAAAGCCATTTTGTCTATTTTATTTTCCAGAATGACCCTTCATTTAATATGTCATCCAGCATTTTATGCTTAAGAATATATGAGGCTCTGCATGCCAAAAAAAGGAATGAGTGTGAAGTGAATAACAATTATGGTGCATTACTCTTTACTGGAGGTCCTTTTTACTCATTAAATAAAGAAAGGTGATTTTTTTTTCTTCCTTAAAAGTCAAAGTTAAAAATCTTTCATTTAGTTTCTCAAATACTAGTAATGATATTAAGGGTACATGCCATATATTAAAACATCACTGTTACTCCATTTTGTTGGTACTAATGGATTTTGTTAAATTACAGAGTTGTAAAACGTGAAGGAAAAGAAAGGGTCTTGCTAAGTGAGTGACAGGGTGCAAGAGTGACTGGGTGGAGGTGAGACACTGAGAGTATTGTTATTAAAATATGCAAAAATGAATATTCACCAGGGATAGTTTAGACTGGAGCTTTTAGCTCTGCTATTTCCCTGCATCCAGCTGGCAGTCTATCTAATTATCACAGTGCCATTCTGGCAGATGAATTTTGATGAATATAAAATCTTAGAAGGGAGAGGTATCTTTGAGATCACCTAATCCAATGCACATATTACAAATCAGGAAAAAGAAATCTGGAGAGGAGAAGTCCTTTGCTCAAAGCCTTAAAGCTTGTTAGCTGTCAGAGCCAGTGCTAGCATACAGCTAGCTCTTTTGGTCTCTTTGCGGTATTCCACATTCATTTATGTTAGAATTAAGGTTAAGGACGAACTAATGTGAACCACTTCCACTATAGAGGTACAGGGAGGGGTCATGGCAGAAGACTAAGAAAAGTGAAGGGGGACCACCTAGTTAGAGACATCAGGAGCAATGTCATCATCTGGTAATAAATCTTTATAAGAGTCAGTAGTTGGCCAGGCACGGTGGCTCACACCTGTAATCCCAGCACTTTGGGAGGCCAAGTCGGGTGGATCACGAGGTCAAGAGATCGAGACCATCCTGGCCAACATGGTGAAACCCCATCTCTACTAAAAATACAAATATTAGCTGGGTGTGGTGGCAGGCGCCTGTAATCCTGGCTGCTCGGGAGGCTGAGGCAGGCGAATCACTTGAACCCGGGAGGTGGAGGTTGCAGTGAGCCAAGATCACACCACTGCACTCCAGCCTGGTGAAAGAGCAAGACTCCATCTCAAAAAAAAAAAAAAAAAAAGAGTCAGTAGTCATAGAAATGTCAGCCACTGACTGTGACTAGACTAGCAATCACTATAGCTGTAAGAGGTGTTAACAGTCAAAGGAAAGACACACACTAAATCTACATTTAGTGGAAGCACCCAAAGATTAACACACAAAAAATAAAGTGCTATTTCTACTTGGCCATTAAACCATCTGATTATCTAAAATTTTCAAATGACCTTTTTATTAGGCTACACAAAATCATAAGGAAGTGATTCCCATTAATGTCAACTTGAGTTATGATTCTGTCAAAATTTCCATCATAATTCCAGGCAAAGCTATCAGAAGCCCAAGTCTCCCAGCCAATAAATATCTTTTCTTTTTGACCATAACATTTTAAAGAACACTTATCATTTTAAAACACTTCTACTACTGGAAAACAAAACATGAAGTATCACTGCTCACAACGGCTTCTGCATTTACTTTTTAAAAGGGGTAGGAAGACTCTTTTTGCCATCTTGAACATGTCTTCAGTCTTTAAGGCAACACATTTTTATCTTTAAAGTTGGTTTGCCGTGAGTAAGTGAATAAACTTCCTTTTAAAAATAAATTAATATAATTTTTGAGGAATTATTTGCCCAGGTCCTTAACTTACAATACTTAAATATGATCACCTAGAGAGAAATGAAAAATATAAATGGAAAATAGATTTTTTAAATGAAGGTTTTCAAAAAAGATGTTTAGATAAATTAATTTATAAATTTTAATCCTCTAAAATGCTACTGTTTTCAACCATTCAAATTCCAGCCCATAAAAGAATACATACTAGAAGGCGTTTAAAAATAAAGATTTTTTTCCCATACACTATTATTTAAACTTTAAATAAGTAATTCAAAGTAAAATTATAAGGAAGAAATTGATAACGCTAAAAAATGCATTTTCCCTAAATCTCACTTTAAGAGATATTACTAAGCAACTATCATATGCAAGGCCTTCTCCTCCTTCAAATGCTTCATGAGAGCAGTCCCTAAAGTTGCTATCATTCTAGTTCTGGACTAAGTAAAAAATAAATGAACATGAGATCCAAGCTAATGTTGGGGTAGGGAGAAGGTGAATCAGAAAAGACAAAAGAGAAATCAAGCATTTGAAAGGTGTCTTTATGGAAGGGTAAAATTTTGAAAGATAAGAAAGCACAGCAAATAGAGTGAAGCAGTTTCTTGATCCCTAGGTACCAATTTAAAAACTTTTGGGGATTACTTGGTAACAATATTAGACCACTTTAGACTGCATTTTTCAATTTATAAAACATTTTCTCCATCATCACCTTTTTATTCACCAACAGATATTGGGGGTTTGAGGTGACACTCTTGATGTCCCTATTAAAAGAAGATAACCAAAGGATCAAGAACCACAAACAAAACAAAGTACTCCTTTATAAATTTCTCAGAATTGCTATGAGGGTCACATTCCAAGACACAAAATAGACAAGTATTATTCCCATTCTATCTATCATGAAAAAGGTTCAGAGGGGTTAGTGATGACCCAAATTAAAACAGCAGGTGGGCTGGGCATGGTGGTTCATGCCTGTAATCCCATTACTTTGGGAGGCCAAGGTGGGAGGATTGCTTGAAGCCAGGAGTTTGAGACCAGCCTGGGCAATATAGCAAGACCTGGTCTCTATAAAAAACAAACAAAAAAAATTAGCCAGGCACAGTGGTGCACACCTGTAGTCCCAGCTACTCAGGAGATTGAGGTGGGAGGATTGCTTGAGCCCAAGAGTTTAAAGCTCCAATGAGCTATTATTATGCCACTGCACCCCAGCCTGGGTAACAGAATGAGATCCTGTCTCTAAAAAACAAACAAAAAAACCCCACAAATGGGTGAAATGTGGCACTGCAGGAATTTAGCCAGGTCTTCCAATGGCAAGTCAAGAGCTTTTCCCATCAGCTCACCAAAGGAGGAAGAAATTCCAAGTTGGCTATACTACAGTAATGTCCCTGGTTACATCTAACCTCTATTTTTAAGCAATAATGTGACTGTAACACAGAATACAAGCTATGAAAAATCCATTTTCTTCTCCAAGGCACAGTTTAATAAAAGGTATAGGAAAAAAGGTGGAAGATATATAACTCAGTAAAAAGGAATCAAAACAGATAAATAAATTAAGTTTATACAAAGTGAAGTAAAATATCACAAGAATCTAGAGTGCCAAAATCATTAGATTCATACTTTAAAATTAATCATGATGTTTGATTATGGGAAATTATGCTGAAGGCAGATTTGTTACTGAGTATACTTTTTATGGAAAAAACTGAAAGAGTACACCAACCAAAATGGGCAAAACAAGCATGTTTTGTGATTGTTGATGCTATTGCTAATAAAGATTCCTAAAGAATGAATTGAAGAATAAATAATAAACTGAGTATCTGGGAATTACAGGGTTCCTAACTCAGCTCTGCCACTAACTGGCTTTGTGATCTTGGGCAAGGCATCTTACCTTTCCAGGCCTCTGAAAAAACAAACAACTCAAATAGGTAATATTTAGGAGTCCTTCTTTCCTAAAAATTATTTGAATCTAGAATTCCCAAGCTTTGTGGTGTGTGAGGGGCCATTCAAAAGACTACATCAGCCATTTTTCCCAGTAGAATATGATAAAACTTGCATACTTCAAAAACCTAAATGCACACAGAATAGATAAGTGCCACAAAATCAATATAGCCAACAGTTACATATGGTGTTTGACAGTGCACTTTTACATGTTTCTCCCATGCCTTGGAGCCAGATTCATATTATATATTAAGTGGTTGTAATGGAAACAGAAACCAATGGTCTAAATCTAATCTAAATCTACATCTAAATTGTAAGAATGCAATCCCACAGATATTAAAACAGCAATAGGCTGTCAATGTTTTTTGTAGAGGTCTTAGAATACAACTGCACCTTAACTCACGATGCAGTTACATCCTGATAAACCCATCATACATTGAAAATATCATAAGTCAAAAATGTATTTAATATACCTAACCTACTGAACAACATAGTCTAGCCTAGCCTACCTTAAATGTGCTCAGAACACTTACATTAGCCTAGTTGAGCAAGATCATCTAACACAAACCCTATTTTATAAAAAAGTGTTGACTATCTCATGTAAAAGTATCATACCACATATCCCTAGTCTAGGAAAAAATCAAAATTCAAAATTTGAAGCTTGGTTTCTACTAAATGGTATTGCTTTTGTACCACCACAAAGTAGAAAAATTATAAGTTGAACCATCATAAGTCAGGGACCATCTGTATTTGTTTTGATGATTATCCAAGGCCCATTTTACTCTGGCAAGATTTATAGAAGCAAATTTTATAACTCAGCTAAAATGGCCTTCAAGTATAGCATAATTTTTTGTTTTAAACTACAATACACGTTGGAAATGATTTAGAAACTCATGGGGTCAAGCTTTTACTTTGGGACGACTGACCAATTTATTGGGGCATCAGGGGTACAGGATAATCTTGGTCTATTTCATTTAGGGAGCTCTGATAGAAAAACAATTTCATTCACATTCACCTTCATATTTTGACATCTGGAGGCTGGTTGTGAAATCAGGAAAATGACAGATGAGACTGAATAGGAAATGCTATTTGGTTTATGTCCCAGGGATATTGTTAAACAAAAATGCTGAGTGAGCTATTTCAAAAGCTCAGCTGGAGGGAAGATGTTCACTATATACTATTCATGATGCTTTTAGAAACATCTCAGGAGGTATGAATGCTGGCAACTTACACACATTCCTTTAGGAATTTCCCTATATTGGTTCCCTGCCTTCTATACAGAGAAAATATTTGTCCCTCACAAAAATAAGGAGAGATGTTAACATTTCTAACAGGAAGTATGTGCAATTTGATGATGAGAGGAAAGCAAGTTCAACATATTTTAAGGTTCTTCATCAGGAAGTTAAGAAATTTTGCTTCCAAGTATTACTGCAAATGGCCTTCTTAGGTCTACCTTATATTACCTTTATATATGCAATGATTGTACAATATAACATTCTAACTCCAGTTATATATATATGACATGTATATCATTCCAACTGAAAACTATTAAGAAAAAGTAACATAGGGATCTTTGTTAAAATATCAAACACCTACATTAGAAACAGAAATCCTGTTATATGGCCAAAAGAATAATAATTTTTATTATCAATGAATTCTGTGAATCTAATGATTAATTGTAATCTCCTTCGCATCTAGAGATGATAACAAGTAGTAAAATCTTTAAATTTATCTTTTCTCTGATCTCTCAAAAAGTGCTAAGAATCTGAGAAATAAAAAGAAATGTGTAGTGAGAAGTAATATTAGTTGCAGAGCAGATTCTTGATAATTCTGAGCCAAATAACGTATTTCTTTTTTTTTTCTTTTTTATATTTCATAATACGAAACCCCAATGTGGAACGAAGGGGTTTTTACACATTGTATAGTTTGGTTTGAAGGCACATTCATGTGTGTTTAAATTATTCATATCAAAGTTAAGCTTAGAAACAGACTTTTAAACTCTAAAATATATTCACTGACATGGTTTGGATATTTGTCCAGTCCAAATCTCATGTTGAAATTTAATCCCCAGTGTTGGAGGTAGGGCCTGGTTGGAGATGTGTGGGTCATGGGGGTGGATTCCTCATGTCTTAGTTCTGTCCTTGCCATAGTGAGTGAGACCTCATGAGATCTGGTCATTTAAAAATGTGTGGTATCTCCCCCAGCCTTGCTCCTGCTCTCGCCATGTGATGTGCCTGCTCCCTCTTCACCTTTTGCCACGAATAAAAGCTCCCTGAGGCTTCCCCAGAAGCCAAGCAGATGCCAGCACCATGCCTGTATAGCCTACAGAACTGTGAGCCAATTAAACTTTTCTTTATAAATTATCCAGCCTCATATATTTCCATTTTATTTTATTTTAAGTTCCGGGATACATGTGAAGAACGCGCAGGTTTGTTACATAGGTATACATGTGACGTGGTGGTTTGCTGCACCCATCAACCCGTCATCAACATTAGATATTTCTCCTAATGCTATCCCTCCCCTAGCCCTCCACCCCCTGACAGGCCCCGGTGTGTGATGTTCCCCTCCCTGTGTCCATATGTTCTCATTATTCAACTCCCAGTTATGAGTGAGAACATGTGGCGTTTGGTTTTCTGTTCCTGTATTAGTTTCCTGAGGATGATGGCTTCCAGCTTCATCCACATTCCTGCAAAGGACATAATTTCATCCTTTTTATGACTGCATAGTATTCCATGGTGTACATGTACCACATTTTCTTTATCCAGTCTATCACTGATGGGCATTTGTGTTGGTTCCATGACTTTGCTGTTGTAAATAGTGCTGCAATAAACATACGTGTGCATGTGTCTTTATAGTAGAATGATTAATATTCCTTTGGGTATATACCCAGTAATGGGATTGCTGGGTCAAATGGTATTTCTGGTTCTAGATCCTTGAGGAATCGCCATGCTGTCTTGCACAATGGTTGAACTAATTTACCCTCCCACCAACAGTGTAAAAGCATTCCTTTGTTCTCCACAGCCTTGCCAGCATCTATTGTTTCCTGACTTTTTAATAATCACCATTCTGACTGGTGTGAGATGGTATCTCATTATGGTTTTGATTTGCATTTCTCTAATGATCAGTGATGCTGAGCTTTTTTTCATAGTTGTTGGCTGCATGAATGTCTTCTTTCAAGAAGACATTCTTGAAATATTCTGTTCATATTCTTTGCCCACTTTTTGATGGGGTTGTTTTTTTTCTTTAAATTTTCTTTGTAAATTTGTTTAAGCTCCTTGTAAATTTTGGATATTAGACCTCTGTCAGATGGGTAGATGGCAAACATTTTCTCCCATTCTGAAGGTTACCTGTTCACTCTGATGATAGTTTCTTTTGCTGTGCAGAAGCTCTTTAGTTTAATTAGATCACATTTGTCAATTTTGGCTTTTGTTGCAATTACTTTTGGTGTTTCCATCATGAAGTCTTTGCCCATGCCTATGTCCTCAATGGTACTGCCTACGTTTTCTTCTAGGGGATTTATGGTTTTGGGTTTTACATTTAAGTCTTTAATCCATCCTGAGTTAATTTTTGTATAAGGTGTAAAGAAGGGGTCCAGTTTCAGTTTTCTGCATATGGCTGGCCAGTTTTCCTAGCACCATTTATTGAATAGGAGATCCTTTCCCCATTGCTTATTTTTGTCAGGTTTGTCGAAGCTCAGATGGTTGTAGATGTGTGGCGTTATTTCTGAGGTCTCCTCTGTACCATAGGTCTATATGTCTGTTTTGGTAACAGTACCATGCTGTTTTTGTTACTGTAGTCTTGTAGTATAATTTGAAGTCAGGTAGCATGATGCCTCCAGGTTGTTCTTTTTGCTTAGGATTGTCTTGGCTATATGGGGTCTTCTTTGATTCCACATGAAATTTAAAGTAGTTTTTTCTAACTCTGTGAAGAATGTCAATGGTAGTTTGATAGGAATAGCATTGAATATATGAATTACTTTGGGCACTATGGCCATTTTCACAATATTGATTCTTACTATCCATGAGGATGAAATGTTTTTCCCTTTGTGTCCTGTCTTATTTCCTTGAGTAGTGTGGTGTATTTTGAAGAGGTCCTTCACATCTCGTTAGCTGTATTCCTAGGTATTTTATTCTCTTTGTAGCAATTTGTGAATAGGAGTTCATGATTTGGCTCGCTGCTTGTCTATTGTTGGTGTAAAGGCATGCTTGTGATTTTTGCACATTGATTTTGTATCCTGAGACTGCTGAAGTTGCGTATAAGCTAAAGGAGTTTTGGGCTGAGATGATGGGGTTTTCTAAATATAAAAACATGTTGTCTGCAAACAGACAATTTGACCTCCTGTCTTCCTATGTGAATACCCTTTACTTCTTTCTCTTGCCTGATAGCTCTGGCCAAAACTTCCAATACTATGTTGAACAGGAGTGGTGAGAGTGGGGATCCTTGCCTTGTACCAGTTTTCAAAGGAAATGCTTCCAACTTTTGCCCATTAAATATTATATTGGCTGTGGGTTTGTCATAAATTGCTCTTATTATTTTGAGATATGTTCTATCAAAACCCAGTTTGAGTTTTTAACATGAAAGGATGTTGAATTTTATCAAGGCCTTTTCTGCATCTATTGAGATAATCATGTGGTTCTGTCTTTGGTTCTGTTCATGTGATGGATTATGTTTATTGATTTGCATATGTTGAACCAGCCTTGCATCCCAGGGATGAAGCTGACTTGATTGTGGTGGATACGTTTTTTGATATGCTACTGAACTCAGTTTGCCAGTATTTTATTGAGGATTTTTGCATCGATGTTCATCAGAGACACTAGCCTGAAGTTTTGTTTTTTTGCGTGTGTTTCTGCCTAGTTTTGGTATCAGGATGATGCTGGCTTCACAAAATGAGTTAGGGAGGAGTCCCTCCTTTTCAACTGTTTGGAATAGTTTCAGAAGGAATGATACCAGCTCCTCTTTGTACCTGTAATAGAATTCAGCTGTGAATCCATCTGGTCCTGGGCTTTTTTTGGTTGGTAGGCCATTAATTACTGCCTCAATTTCAGAACTTTTTATTGGTCTCATCCAAGGATTCAACTTCTTCCTGACTTAGTCTTGGGAGGGTGTATATGTCCAAGTATTTATCCATTTCTTCTAGATTTTCTAGTTTATTTGTGTAGAGGTGTTTATAGTATTCTCTGATGGTAGTTTGTATTTCTATGGTGTCAGTGGTGATATCCCCGTTATCATTTTTTGTTTCTATTTGATTATTCTGTTTTCTTCGTTATTAGTCTAGCTAGTGGTCTATCTATTTTATTAATTTTTTCAAAAAACCAACTTCTGGATTCATTGATTATTTTTGGAGAATTTTTCATGTCTCTATCTACTTCAACTCTGCTCTGATCTTAGTTATTTCTTGTCTTCTGCTAGCTATTGGATTAGTTTGCTCCTGCCTCTCTAGCTCTTTTAATTGTAATGTTAGGGTGTTCATTTGAAATCTTTCTAGCTTTCTGATGTGGGCATTTAGTGCTATAAATTTCCCTCTTAACACTGCTTTAGCTGTGTCCCAGAGATTTTGGTACATTGTCTCTTTGTTCTCCATCCTTTATTTCTTCTTTATTCCTTTATTTCTTCTTCATTTAGAACTTCTTTATTTCTGCCCTAATTTCATTATTTATCCAGGAGTCATTCAGAAGCAGCTTATTCAATTTCCATGTAACTGCACTGTGGTCTGTGGTCTGTTATGATTTCAGTTCTTTTGCATTTGCTGAGGAATGTTTTACTTATGTGGTAGATTTTAGATTAAGTGCCATATGCCACTGAGAAGAATGTATATTCTGTTGATTTGAGGTGGAGAGTTCTGTAGATGTCTATTAGGTCCACTTGATCCAGAGCTGAGTTCAAGTCCTGAATATCCTTGTTAATTTTCTGTCTCATTGATCTAATATTGACAGTGGGGAGTTAAAGTCTCCCACTATTATTGTGTGGGAGTCTAAGTCTCTTTGTAGGTCTCTAAGAACTTGTTTTATGAATCTGGGTACTCCTGTATTGGGTGCATATATGATTTGGATAGTTAGCCCTTCTTGTTGAATTGTTTCCTTTACCATTATGTAATGCCCTTCTTTATCCTTTTTGATCTTTGTTGGTTTAAAGTCCGTTTTGTCAGAGATGAGGATTGAAACCCCTGCTTTCTTTGCTTTCCATTTGCTTGCTAAATATTCCTCCATCCCTTTATTTTGAGCCTATGTGTGTCTCTACATGTGGATGGGTCTCCTGAATATGGCACGCTAATGGGTCTTGACTCTGTATCCAACTTGCCAGTCTGTGTCTTTTAATTGTGGCATTTAGCCCATTTACATTTAAGGTTAGTATTATTATGTGTGAATTTGATCCTGTCATCATGATGCTATCTGGTTATTTTGCACACTAGTTGATGCAGTTTCTTCATAGTGTCATTGGTCTTTATATTTTGTGTGTTTTTGCAGTGGCTAGTAACAGTTTTTCCTTTTCGTATTTAGTGCTTCTTTCAGGAGCTCTTGCAAGGCAGGCCTAGTGATAATGAAATCCCTCAGCATTTTCTTATCTGGAAAGAATTTTATTTCCCCTTCACTTATGAAGCTTAGTTTGGCTAGATACAAAATTCTAGGTTGAGAATTCTTTTCTTTAAGAATGTTGGAGGCTGGGCACAGTGGCTCACGCCTATAATCCCAGCACTTTAGGAGGCGGGCAGATCATGAGGTCAGGAAATCGAGACCATCCTGGCTAACATGGTGAAACCCTGTCTCTACTAAAAATACAAAAAAAAATTAGCCGGGCATGGTGGTGGGTGCCTATAGTCCCAGCTACTAGGGAGGCTGAGGCAGGAGAATGGGGTGAACCTGGGAGGTGGAGCTTGCAGTGAGCCAAGATTGCGCCACTGCACTCCAGCGTGGGTGACAGAGCGAGACTCCATCTCAAAAAAAAAAAAGAAAAAAAAAAAAGTTGAATATTAGCCCCCAATCTCTTCTGGCTTGTAGAGTTTCTGCTGAGAGATCTGCTGTTAATCTGATGGGCTTCCCTTTGTAGGTGACCTGGTCTTTCTCTCTCGCTTTTTTTTCCTTCATTTCAACCTTGGAGAATTTTATGATTATGTGTCTTGAGGTTGATCTTTTCATGGAGTATCTTAGTGGTGTTCTCTGGAGTATCTTAGTGGTGTTCTCTGTATTTCCTGAATTTGCATGTTGGCCTGTCTTGCTCAGTTGGGGAAGTTCTCCTGGATGTATCCTGAAGTGTGTTTTCCACCTTGTTTTTATTCTCCCCGTCTCCTTCAGGTACTCCAATCAATCATAGTTTCAGTCTTTTTATGAAGTCCCATATTTCTTGGAGACTTTGTTCATTCCTTTTCATTGTTTTTTCTCTAATCTTGTCTGCATGCATTATTTAAGCAAGATGGTCTTAAAACTCTGATATCCTTTCTTCTGCTTGATTGATTCAGCTATTGATACTTATCTATGCTTCACGAAGCTCTTGTGCTATATTTTTCAGCTCCATCAGGTCATTTATGTTCCTCTCTAAACTGGTTATTCTAGTTAGCAGCTCCTCTAACCTTTTATCAAGGTTCTTAGCTTCTTTGCATTGGGTTAGAACATGCTCCTTTAGCTCAGTGTAGTTTTTTATTACCCACCTTCTGAAGTCTACTTCTGTGAATTTGTCCACCTCATCCTCCATCTAGTTCTGTTCCTTGAAGAGATGTTGCAATCATTTGGAGGAAAAGAGGCCCTCTGGCCTTTTGGGTTTTCTGCGTTTTTTTGTTGATTTTTTTCTCATCTTCTTGAGTTTGTCTAGTTTCCATCTTTGAAGCTACTGACCCTTGAATGGGGTTTTTGTGGGGACTTTTTGTTGTTGTTGATGCAGATGTTGTGGCTTTCTGTTGTCTTTCTTTCAATGGTCAGGTCCCTCTTCTGTAGGGCTGCTGCGGTTTGCTGGGGATTCACTTCAGGCCGTATTCATCTGGTTCGCTCCTGTGCCTGGAGGTGTCACTCAAAAAGGCTGCAGAACAGCAAAGATGGGTGCCTGATCCTTCTTCTGGGATCTCTGACCTCAAGGGGCACCAATCTGATGCCAGTAGGATTGCTCCTGTATAGAGTGTCTGAAAACCCCTGTTGGAGGGTCTCACCCATTTAGGTGGTACAGGGAACAGGACCCATTTAACGAAGCACTTTGTCCCTTTGTGGATGGGGTGTGCTTTGCTGGGGGAAACCCACTCATCTGGGCTGCCCAGATTCCTCAGAACTGCCAGGAAGAAAACCTAAGTCTGCTGGTCCACAGAGACTACAGCCATCCCTCCCACTAGGGGCACAGGCCCAGGGAGATCCGTGTTCTGTCCCTGAGCCTCTGGCTGGAGTTGTTGGAGTTACTGCAGGGAGCCCCGCCCAGTAAGGAAATATGAGTCAGGGTCAGGCCTGAAGAGGCTTTCTGGCTGCAGTCCGCCACAGCTGGTGTGTTGGCCTGTGGGGGACACCTTTTGGGACCAAGCCATCCAGCCTCACTGGCTCCAGCAGGGGAAAAGCAAAGTGTGGCCTGGAGCTATAGAGATGAATGACGCCCTTCCCCCACCCAGGGAGGTTAGTGTGTTAGGCAGTTATGAGTCCCAGTGCTGGCTGCTGCCCCTCCCCCAAGGAGCTCACATGGCTTACACAGCAGGCAGCCACAGCTGTGGTGCTGGTTGCCCCTCCCCCAGGGGAGCTCCGCAGGCTTAAGCAGATTGCAGCTGAGAGGCTGTTGAGAATCTGCGCAGCTCCAGGGTTGGGACCCTAGACCCCGTGGCGTGGGTAGGTGAGTGGGATCTTCCGATCCGTGGCTGACAGAGTTCTGTGGATAATGCTCAGTTTCCCCGGCTAGGTAGCATGCTCACTCACTGCCTCCCTTGGCTGTGGGTTGGGGGCTCCTCTGCCCCGTGTGGCTCTCAGGTGGGCCACCACACCACACTGTGTTCCCTCCTCTTCGTGGATCATGCCAGCCAGAGTCTAGTTGGTTCTGATGAGAGAACCTGGATATCTTGGTTGCCAGTGAAGGATTCACATGTTTATTATGGTTCTTTTCAATGGGAGTCTCCAATCACCACTGTTTGTAGTTGGCCATCTTGGCCTTGCCCCCCTCATGTATTTCTTTATAGCAACACAAGAACATCCTACCTAATGCATTCATAATAGTCTAGGCATGTTATACTCTTCTCCAATGATCTGCTACTATTCTAGGGTGATCTATAACCTTTGCCTTTGCTTACATAAATCTATTTATATTTTTCTTCATAGCTTTTAAAAAAGGTTTTCTTACCCAAAAAAAAGTAAGCAATTAGGGATTTAGAGAGTGGGCCTTAATTGTTCATGTGATTGACAGAATGATTTCTAATACCTTAGGTCAGGTCAGTGAAGGGGTGGAGATAGGGAGTGAGAGGTACTATCCTACTGAGTACCTATCCCTCCCCTACATGCCAAGAGTCTAATATGCTTGAAGGTGACAAGGGTAAAGAAAAGAACTATAGAATTTGCCTTTTGAAAAAGCTCCACAGGTAATAAGAACACTGACTTCAAACATAAGAAGAGAACATCTTTTGAGGAGGTGTCAGTATGAGATCAGGGAACAACAGAAGGTTCTGAGGTCCAAGTTCAGAGAATCCCACACACTAAATCTCCCTCCATGGGACTAACACTACTCATTAGCATAGCAAACTTTCTTAGAAGTTTATGAGTAAAGAAATCTGTTTTATTTTATTTAGTGGTCTTAAAATCTTATTCATCTACTAAGCTTTCCCTCAACATTGTTCAGGGAAGATAATTTAGAAATCCTGAAATATTTATGAAAGTGGCCCCATTCCATTGTATGTGGGCTCTGTGCCAGATTAAAATATGTGTACTAGCACCTCAGGACAGGGACCATCCAGCAGAAGCTAAATTCTACTCAAGTACAAGGTTGTTTACTTCGTAATGGTGTCAAAGCGATTATTAAATACATTAGTCTACTCAAAAGCCACTATCAGCACTGCTAAAACTATCAGTGCCACTGGGTCCCTTACAGCACATAGGTCACAAAGTTTAATGGCTGCTTCATTTCTACTGTCTCCAGAGAAATGAGGCCACTTGCTATTCTTTAAAATGTCTTTCCTTTCCCATCTCCATACCTTTGCTCTTGCTTCTTGATCTATTAATACCTGGAATGCACTCTCCACTAACAAGTCTCCAAATGTTGAAGCTTTACTAACCCATGGAGACCTACACACCTAAATGCCAGCTCCTCCACAAAGCCTTTCTTGATTGTCCACAACTAACTGGCTTCTCCCTCCTTCAAAACTCCCAATCACATTGTATATCTCTTAAAGCAATAATCATATTATCTTTACATAACCGTAGGTCTTCTAATCTCATGTCCCAATTAAATGGTAAATTCTTTAGGGATAGGAATTGTGTCTTCCCCCTATTTAGATGAAGAAAAAAAAAATGGTTTTTGAGACAGGGTCTCACTCTGTCTCCCAGGCTGGAGTGCAGTGGCTCAATCACAGCTCGTGGCAGTCTCAAACTCCCAGGCTCAAGAAATCCTCCTACCTCAGCCTCCAGAGTAGCTGGGACCACAGGTGCCCACCACCATGCCTGGATAGATTTTTTTTTTAATTTTTAATTTTTTTTTTTTTTTTTTTGTAGAGACAAGGTCTCACTAAGTTGCTCAGGCTGGTCTCAAACTCCTGGTGGATAAAGAAATTTAGGCTTAGAAAAATGGAGCAACTTGTCTAAGATCATATAACTAGTCAGTGGCAGTGCTGGGAATTACACCCAATCTGCCTAGCCCCAAAGCCCAGGCCCCCAAACCCAGTCTCTTTCCCCTAACTTCTTTCTCCCTCGCCCCATGTCCTGTGCCACATCCTATGGAAACAAAAAGGACCTAAGTCATCTCCTACTGGAGGTAGGCAGCATAAAAGTTCTATTTTTCTGCCCTAATTCACTGCCTGGCTTCTGACTCACTGTTCTAACTCTGTCTTCGGTTTGTAGACCTTCATTTCTCAAAGTGTATTCTGGGAAACAATAGTAATGCAGGATGTAGTTGTTTTTAAAGAAAGACTTTACGGGAAAATGTAGCCTAAACTGGTTGCTTACTGCAGGACTTTTCAGATCATTTAATTTGCTACTATGCAGCATTATACATAGCTTTTGTACACATATTTCATTTTTAAGACACAGGATATCACATATATTTTGTTAAGTATCATGGAATGCAACTACATTTCATAAATTTCATCTAATTCCATATAGCACTGTCAGGTAAAAAAAAGTTTTATTTTAACAGCATCATTAACAGCAATATAATACATGCATAACAACAAATTTATTCCCAAACTATTTAATAACATGTATTTAAGTAAAAAACTGACAACAAAATGCTGTAAGACTTAATGTTACTAGGATTTAAAACTAGAGCAATCTACTTTGTGCCAGCAAATGAGTGATTAAGTGCTACCCACATAATGCCTGACATTTAATGAGGGAGTTACGTGCATGTAGAATATATTTCACTCAATGATTAATACAGGTTTACTATATTTAGTGTCTACTTGAACATTTTGCCTTTTCTCCCCATCCCTGAACCCAGCTGAGGACATGGGATAAATTTGAAGACTAAAACCCAAAAAGTTTTGATGAATGAAACAGATAAGAACAAGACTGTCTCTTATAGGATAAAGTGAGAATCACTTACCTTTACATCATTTTTAGACTAGTTAAAGTTGTTTAAAATAAAGTAAAATAACATTGGTGACCTCTGAGGAGGACAACTGGGTGACCTGGGAACAACGGTGAGTGGGAAACTTTTCATTTATATACTTTTATATCTGCAGTGGGTACATCTGTGTTCCCAAAAAGAGATCTGTTTAAGTCCTAACCCTCATATCTGTAAATGTGAACTTATTTGGAAATTGAGTCTTTGCAGATGTAATTAAGTGAAGATGAGGTCATATGACAGTGGATTAGAGTGGGCCTGATTTTAGGAACCCTAGGAAACTAATCCAATATCTTTTTGATTTTACATAACATGATTGTAGAACCTACTCAAAAACTAATCAAACTAAAATAAAGTAAAAGTTCTGCTTTTTATTACAGTTTAATAACTATCTTGATCCTATAACTAAAATATGCATACTTGTTCTCAAAGCTTTACATGTTCCTTCATTTATTCCTTCATTAATTCAAACTTCAACTAAGTGCTTACCCTGCGCCAGATGAGATGGCCTGGGAAAGGTTCTAGATAATCCAGAAATCAGATATTTCCTGTCCTCTAGGATGATGTCTGCTCTAATAAATAATTGCAGAAGAAATAGATTACATCAACCAGTAGTGAAAGCGTTATTCATGAATCTTGGGAAATTAATATTAAGATCAAATTTTAAGTGATATTCAACAACGTATATGAGGCAGGTCTTCCTCCTTCACTTTATTCAAAGATCAATGATATGGAATACATACTTTTTTTTTTTTTTTGAGACAGAGTCTCACTCTGCCCCCTAGGCTGGAGTGCAGTGGTGCAATCTCAGCTCACTGCAAGCTCCGCTTCCCGAGTTCACACCATTCTCCTGCCTCAGCCTCCCTAGTAGCTGGGATTACAGACGCCTGTTACCACGCCCGGCTAATTTTTTGTATTTTTAGTAGAGACGGGGTTTCACTGTGTTAGCCAGGATGGTCTCAATCTCCTGACCTTGTGATCTGCCCGCCTGGGCCTCCCAAAGTGCTGGGATTACAGGCGTGAGCCACCGCGCCCGGCCGGAATACATACCTCTTACTTGACCACTCTGAGGAGCATCTTGGGAGATAAGACACACATTACTAGAAAGTGAGGTCAATGTCATAAAAACCCTATCGAGAATTCTGAATAGAAGAAATAAATATTTTTAAAACACCAGGGAGAATAGTCAAAAGCAGACGGAAATTCTGAAATCATTAAAAGTCTAGTGCTAAAATAACGAAAACTGGAGTCATGCTGGAGGATTCCACCATCTTAAGAAAGATGGGGGAGGTGTATTGAAAATTATTTTTTAAATATATTGGCCAAGAGCAGTATTATATACCAATCAGGCTTGACATACTTTCTCACACTGTCCTCTCTCCTAGCCCTGTTCCCAAGCTGAATTAGAAAAAACTGATAATTCAAGTTTCCAGAAACTGACAATACAGTAATTCAGTCATCTCTCCATCATGAAAAAAATGAAACAAAACATTTAAAAGAAATGTCCCTCCCTTAGAACCAAGTCCTGAATCTTGGAAGTAACAATAGAACAATAATAACTGACATGATGTAACATGTATCTTCACATTGAGATTATTTCCCAAGCCCCGTAGTTAAAATCTTTGCAGCATAATAGTACAGTACTCCTTAGTGCCTAAATATAGGTATGCAATGATATTCTTTAAGTTAGAAGAATATTACCTTAGAGAGTTTTATTTTTAAATGCTGCTGAAAAAGTGGGAAAAGTCACAAGCTGTTCTCTGTATCAAGAATCACACATACAACCATTTAAAACATTACCATAAAATCAAAGATCTACTGTCCTATGAAATAAACAGAGTTTCATTATATCACAAAAACTCCACTAAGTTTCATTATATCCTACTATATATCCTAATACCATTTGAAAGAGGGTTGAATGTGTATCACTGTGAGAGACTGGGAAAAAGAATAACTGGTGGCAAAATCTGGGTGGAGAGGGGTGGAAATAGGAGATTCTAACTTGTCCCTGCTCAAGATGCTGAAAGTCAATTTGATTGGGTCAGTGTTAAACTTTCGGCAGGTGAGAAGCTGGTTTCAGCAAAGGACAGATACTTTAGGAAAAGTTTTTATTCTGCCTGTATTGGTATTTGATAGAAACAGAAATTTAAGTAAGGATTCCTTGACTTTTTTTTTTTTTAACCACAGAATGCTATTTTACCAGTAATATGATTTGGTAGGAACACATATTTGGGAGTATGATAGTTTGGACTGCTACTAATTTAACAGCTATGAAACCTCCCACTTCACTGCAGTAAAACATTATGACAAAGCCTCACCTGCAGCATGGGAAAATGTTATTGCATTTCTTCTCTAGAAATATATATATACTCAATCAGCAAATGCTCTTCTCAAAAGCACCAAATAACTCCTTCCCAAAAGGCTTGTTTTTTGAACTCTTCACCCTGTATCATTTCTCAATTTTTCTCCTCTCCATTTCCCTAATTTTAACTTAATTGGTTGTGAATCTGAAAACTCATGTTTCCTATTTGCTTTTGGCTACAGAAAAAATTCTTAATGTCTATTAGGGAATGTAGGGGTGAATGCTGTAAGGTAATGGTTAAAAGATAAAAAAAAATGGTCAAAGCAAAACAAGAATATTGTTCCTCTCCTCCTACTGCTGCCAAGAAGATGGTATAATTTCCTCTCTCTGTAGAGAATTACCTAATTATAGAAAAGGGCATGCTCTCTGCTTATGACATCAGAAGTGCTACCAGGTAGCACTTTTTACAGAAGTGGACATTTTAAAGAGTGCTACCAGCTGTTGTCATAAAATGAGGGCCAGAAAAGAGAAACATGGGTAACTGCAGCAGGTGAATGATGAAAGGAAGCATCATCTCAACACACGGCAATCATACTGCAGACCTCTCTAGTCTCTGGTCTCCTACAGGAGCAGTTCTCAATTTGTATCACTGTGAGAGACTGGAGAAAAGGACAGATCAGCAGCATAAGCACCAGCTGAAAACTTATTAGAAATCCAAATTATCAAGCTGCACACACCCTAGACTTACAAAATCAGAAACTCTAGGTGTGGGACATAGAAATCTGTGTTTTAACAGGCATGCCCTGGGATTCTGATTTGATTGACCAATGTCCTAAAGGAATTTGTTATCTGCCAATTTATTCTGGCTTTTAACCATATGTCACCCAAATTATTACTAAAAATTTTCATGTGTATATATTCTCACTAATTCACAGGATCCTTTGGGACAAAAATTCTTTCTCTTCCCTTGTCCTCTTTGCTGTCCATCACCCACCAGTACCTCATGCAGCGCTAAAAAGAAAACATAATGAGCATTTATAATGATAGCAACTGGGGAGGGGGACCTTGGAGAAAGTCTTTTTTTAATGACACTTCCCTCCACTTGAGGTATCTATTCCCTTAATTATAATCTAGGGTAAAAAGACCTTAATCCTATTTACAGAGGACTCTTCATTCCTGGGATGGAACTGCTCAACTTCAGAATTTGAGTAATCCAATTGAAAACAAATTAAAAGTTCTATAAAATATTTCCCCCAAATGCTTGGTGACTTTGAACAGAGAGTGGAAAAAAAAAGGTAGCATTTCTTTCTCAGAAGCACCCAGTAGGGGCCATATACATGGGAAAGTTTCTTAGTTACCCCTGTGGCAGGATATAACCTTCAAACTTTTAATATGAAAATGTTCTGTTTGCCTTCTCTTTCTTTGCTACATTCAAAGCATAAAAGGCAAATGTTTCTCCTTGCACACAAGGTGTCCTCACTATCCTCAAGCAAAGTAGAACTAGTTGCTCAGTTGCTAATAATTCAGGTTCTGAGTTTAATAAATGTTTGGAGCTTAGTCATGGTTCCTAGGGAGGACCTAACAACAGGGACATTCTTCAATCAGGCATAAATAAATGAAATGTGTTCAGATGTGTTCTGTTAGCACCCAGCAGAAATCCTATTAAACTGAATGTGCAAAGATATTCTACATCATGATGGAAAGGATCACTGGTGCCTTCCATAATCTATACCTGATATTTTTAAAAAGGGGCTACACATTTAACAGTACCTGCTTCTCCCACTTCTCCAATTAATATATCTGTAGGTTCTTCAAGCCAATCTGAAAGGGGCCCTGTTATGGACTGAATGTTTGTGTCGCCCCAAAATTCATATGATGAAACCCTAACTCTCAGTGTGATGGTATCTGGAGATGGGGCCTTTGAGAAGTAAGTAGGTTTAGATGAGGTCACAAGGGTGGGGCCCTCATGACAAGGTTAGTGCCCTTATAAGAAGACACCACCAGAGAGCTGGCTCTCATGTGATTTCTCTCTCCACCATGTGAGGACACAGCCATAAAACAACCATCCGCAAGCTAGGAAAAGGGCCCTTAGCAGGAACTAAATAAGCCAGCACTTTGATTTTAGACTTCCCAGTCTCCAGAACCATGAGAAATAAATGTCTGTTGTGTAAGCCACCCAGTCTATGATTTTTTGTTCTAGCATCCCAAGTGGACTGATATACCAACCCTGAACTACTATTCCATGCCTTCTCAGTAGAGCTCTGAACCCAAATCCTTATTAAAGCTAAGACAGCCTTTTGTTTGCATATGCCAGTGCATGTGTGAGCTGAATTATCTGTATGCACTCCAACTGGGCCAATGTGTGATGGCCTGCAGGGTGGAGATGGTGATTATAGGAGTTAAAAAGAAATTATTTAGGCAGATAGTGAGGTTAAGGAAGTCCTCGATAAGGTTTCCCTTTTAATGAAAAGCAACCCCCAAATCATTTCTTCTCTAACAAAGAGCAGCCTGTAAAATCGAGCTGCTGACATAGGAAAGCTTACACAGGTGAATGCCTGCAGCTGTGCCAATAGGAAAAGACTACCTTAGGCATGTTCAACATGGTGGCTCCATCTTCCCTCTTCCTTGCCAACCACATGTACAGTAAGGAGCAGACAACAGAGCACTGGCCAAGTAGAAAACCCATTTGCTTAATAAGAAGATTAGGGTGGGGTGGCCAGCTCCTTCGTGTGTTATGTAAATATCACACCTGTCCAACCAATCTTTGGACCCTACGTACATCAGACATCACCTCCTCAGGTCAGTCTGTAAAATCCAGTGTACTTCACTTTGGACCGGAAGTCCCACTTGGGAGCCTCTCTCTCGTAGGAGAGAGAGCTGTTCTCCTTTCTCTTTCTTTTGCCTATTAAACCTATGCTCCTAAACCCACTTCTCATGTGTCCGCATACTCTATTTCCTTGGCATGAGACAACAAACCTCAGGTATTTACACCAGACAATGATGCTGCTTCGATGGCACCTGGTACCTACCCTCAAAAACAAAATTATTTCTATGAGCTGGGCATAACTGGAAAGCAACAGAAAGCTGTCAGATCTGAAGAGGATGTGTACACTGAGGCAAGAAGCATCTCAGCTGAAATAAATTGCACACATCTTGCCATGAAATTGGAGATGTGAAAAACTTAGCTTGCCACGAACTTGGAGATGAGAACTCCAAAAATGGCAAAAGCCAAATTTTTCTCCAGCCTGGTTCTCTGCAGGAAATCAAGCTATTCAAAAAGATTTTTGATTATTATTATTTCTTACAGAACTGAGTTTGAAGATATATTTATACCCATGACACACAAGGCTAATGATAAATAGACCTTTGAAGAGTATTCAAATTAAATCTAGGTCTCTGCAATGAAACACCAAAGCAAATATTAGACTTTTTAAAAAATGCAAAGCCTTGTCCTTGGCTGGATTCCTGCAAACCTAGACTCTCCAGAACGTGGCAATGTCCCTTTCTCTGTGGCTAATTAGTAAAACTAACCTTTTCCTTGTTGTTGGGGATTCTTAGCCTATGATTGGTTGCCTAGGTGCAGAAGTCATTCCCAAAGGATATAAAAATAGCAAATGCTTTTTGTCACATGCTAGGCTCAGGCTGCTGTGTGCAAGACTCTAAAACAACATGAAGCCTTTTTTCATTCCCTTCTGTGTCATTAGGGAAAATGACCACCCCCACGTGGCCACCCACAATATGGTGCTCCAGCCATTGTAGCATTGTAGTTGTGCCCACACAGAGACTCTGTATTAAAAGGACTTCTAGTAACTCAATGCAGAGTATATGGGAGTGCTGAGTTTCCAGAGGCCCATTGTTTTCTAGTAAATCAATTCCTCTAAAGTAGAATTCAGTAGTGCCACTCACATAGTAATAGCACAGTGTCTGCAGTAACAGGAGCACTTTCAGAGAGATTTGGGCTTTGCTGAGGAGCACAGAGATGAATTTCTTCTAACATCTTGTTTGCCAATTTTCTACTATAAATTATCTATGCTGATGAAGCAAGGCATGATATACATATAAAACACTGAAGTAATCAGGATCTCATTCAACATCAGTACAGTTTTCTTTGTTCTTCTTCAACTCTACAGCAGCACAGTTTGCCATCATTCCACACTAACAAGTGTGGCAGGGAGAGTGCACAACCACAAACATACACACAAAGCCAGAATGGTCTTCAAGTTTTTCCCTCAGAAGTTCTCAAACCCTTGATTTACTGTCATAAGTTACTCAAATCTGAAGCATTAGAGGTAGGAATCTTCTACTTTAAACACTCAACAGTTGGTGTCATCATGAAGGATAGGTTATTTTGAATCGTTTATGTACAACCTGTACACTTCCTACAAAAAGCAGATTTAAGGAATTGATGAAAGAAGGTTCCACCAAGGTCATCAAGATTCGCATAAAGCTTATGTTTGCATATTCTTCCTAATAGATTTGGTGGAGTCCCTTAAAACTCTTCAAGACTAGGACTTACAGCAAATAAGAGAAGGCAGGCTTGATTCTGAAAGAAAAATGTGTGAAAAGGGCGAGAATTTGTGTATTACATTGAATGTCAAGAGTCTTAAGGATAATCCAGGACAAGTCAGAGGAAGGTAGGAGATAAAATGCTGAAGTATCACTCATAGCCATTCTGCATGACGGTTATGAACACACTGACCTTAGGGTCACATATAGCCCTGGATACAAATCCCAGCTACCAGCTATGTGACCTGGGAAAGTTTTACTTAACCTAAATGTGTTTCTTCACCTATAAAAAAGGAAGAGTAATAAAAATCTACCTCATACAATTGTTATAATGATTAAATGAGAAGACCTGCAGGCACTTAGCATAGTGCCTTGCACATAGTAAATCCTCAATAACTTCTAGCTATTTTATTTAATTTCTAAAGCTCTCTCCAAATCCCCTTATTAGGTGGAATATCAAATCCAAAAGAAAAGTAGAATTTTCATCCTGCTTCCCAAAAGATGTGTTAGGATCCTAATAGAAGGAATGAACTTACATTTAGAGACTTATTTGCACAGGGGACTACCAAGCAACATCTTAGAATTAATGGATTTAGCTGTCACACAACTATAAATATTCAGAAAACTAGTATTTTAAACATCTTGATATGGAAGATAGCCTTGTTTCTAACAGCAATAAAGCTCTGTAATGTTATTCCAGCCAAGTAATTTTACAATAGCCCAAATGACACTCTCTTAAACTGTAAGATGCAAAAATGTGAAACTAAATAAATAAGTACATTCCATATCAATAATCCTGCCTTGTAAGAGTCTGAAGGCATAATTCTATGCTAGAGATTAGAATTTAGGTGTTACAGTTTGAATATTTATAATAGCCATCATTCTGGAAATATATATATGCCATATAATATATGCAAAATGAATGCAAAGGGGCTTAAAATAATAACAATGTTCATTTTGTTCATGAATCTGCAGTTTGGAGAAGGGCTCAGAGTTTATTTCTGCTCTACCCTATGTCACCTGGGCCAGCTGGAAGGCTGGGGCTGAGAAGTCATGGGACAGCTTGCTTGATCACATGTCTGTCCTATTGCCTACACTGGGAAAACTCAAACAGCTGAGGGCTAGAACAGCTGGGGTTCCTCTGGCATACCCCTCTAATTCTATATAGTCTTTCCATGTGCTCTCTCTAATATGGCATATTCAGGGTACCTGGACTCAGTTTCCAAGGCACATGTCACAGGAAAGAAAGAGGACCAGGAGGAGGTTGTATCACCTTTTAGGGCCTTGCCTTGGAACCCACACATCATTATTAATTCTACACATTCTATTCATCCACATAGGTTTAAGCAGGGGGAACACAGCCCTCTACCTCTCAATGGAGGAATGTGAAATCACACTGTTAGAAGAGCATATAGGATAGGATATATATTGGTGGTACAATTTTTGGAAAGTATAACCTGCCACAGTTAGCTTAGTTTTCACGCAGTGTATCAGTCAGAGTTCTTGGTTACAAGCAATAGAAATCCATTTTGGCAGACTTAAAGGGAAAAAGTATATTTGAAGGATACAGAAATATCTTGAAGGAAAAGCTAGAAGCCTGACCTGGAAGTGAGCTAGAATCAAGGGAGGCTGAAGGGAGGCTAGGACACAGGGACTCAGCCACAAAAGAGTCTGGTTAACACACCTTTCTCATCACCACTGCTGCAACTAGACAATGATGTCGCTGGACTCTCAACACCACCACTGCTAAAAAGAATAAACTGTCTCTGCATCTTTGAGTTATGCACTCAAGATTCAAAGTTCTGGGTGAGTAATAGTGATTGGCTGAACCTAATTCACATGGCTGCAGCCTAGCTTCTAAAGACAAGAAAATCTGACCCCTTCTGGAAAAGGAACCCCGCCTCCCACAAAACCCCACATAACAAAGAATTCATGCCAGATAAAAACAGAGGTTCAGACTCTGGGTAGCCAAAAACCTAGGAAATGTCTGATATAGACAGAAAATTAATAGCCCTCTACAATTTTGATATAAAAGACCATACCATTTTCTGTCAGCAAAGGATAAGACTAGAGCCTGGTTAATAATCAGGTTTTAATTTGGAATAAAGGCCAAATCCTCAATCCATGATGCAAGTCCATTTTCTCATAGTGACGTGTATTAAATTAATTAGGATCACAATTCTACTAGAACTCTGGGAGGCTGAGGGGGGTGAATTGCTTGAGGTCAGGAGTTCAAGACCAGCCTAGCCAACATGGTGAAACCCTCTCTCTACAAAAATACAAAAATTAGCCAGGCTTGGTGGCATGTGCCTGTAGTCCCAGCTTCTCAGGAGGCTGAGGCAGGAGAATTGCTTGAACCCGGGGGACAGAGGTTGGAGTGAGCCAAGACTGCACCACTGCACTCTAACCTGGGCGATAGAGTGAGAATCTGCCTCAAATAATAATAATAATAATAATAATTCTACTAGAGCAAGGTCCAATTCTAACACTATGGACATGCCACAATAGAAATGTGTTTGTTCTCTTCACAGAGAATGGGTTTGTATATACCCAGGGCAAGGACAGGTAATATTCCATAGTCTACCTATAAGTCAGCCGTTTTGAATTCAGAACAAAATTTTCCCAGCAATGATTAAATTTCCAGGTTAGCACATAAGCATCTAATTAGCCCAGAAATTTATGCAGCTGATTCTAGCCATTAATATTGTTTACAGAATATAAGCAGTACTGTGTTTATATCATGGCTTTTATAAGGGAGAGATGCCCATATGCTTGTTAGAACCTAGAATACCTTGGTGACAGAAAGACTCTCTTTGCCTTAGCTTTACTGAGAATAGGAAGTTAGCTACCCTGTAACAGTGGGAAGAAAAGAGTCCATGCCAAGGTAACTGTTCATATGCAAGGAAATTTTGCACAGTGACTTTTTTAAAAATCATCTTTAACATTACCTACATACTAGGATAAAGACTCAATCTAAATACTTCACAAACTTCTGAATACAAAGTTACTTGACAAACTTTGATTTTCCTCACATCATAAACAGTATAACTAATATCTTTTTTTCTTTTTTTTCCCAGACAGAGTCCCGCTGTGCCGCCCAGGCTGGAGTGTAGTGGCGCAATCTCGGCTCACTGCAAGCTCTGCCTCCGGGGTTCAAGCGATTCTCCTGTCCCAGATTCCCAAGTGGCTGGGACTAGAGGCGCCTGCCACCACGCCCAGCTAATCTTTTTATATTTTTAGTAGAGACAGGGTTTCACTATGTTGGCCAGGCTGGTCTTGAACTCCTGACCTCATGATCCACCCGCCTCAGCCTCCCAAAGTGCTGGGATTACAGACGTAAGCCACCGCGCCCAGCCCTAATATCTTTATATAAATTTTGAATGTCTAAAACTAGTAGTGTATTTAGTGTTTTTCTTGTATCATTTAACAATAAATTAAAATGCAATCAAAATTTAATTCTGGTTTGTTCCCTGTTATATAAGTGAGCACAAAATAATGGAGAAAATTTAAACTTCCTGAGAGCAGGGGACCTGACATGTTTGTCTTGTTGACTGCTATATCCCCAGTTCCTAGTATGGGGCATATGGGAGGTGCTTGAGAGCATCAGTTGTTGTTATTGTCAAAGTTTTAAAGGGATGAAAGAGGGAGAAAAAAGTAGCAAAAAGAAGAAAGAAAATAGTAATGGATTATTTTAGAAAAGATATTTGGGTCAATGATACCTAAGAATTGTTCATTCATTTCTTCTGGCTAGCTGGATGCTATAAATAACCCCCTAAACCCTTCTCCTCCAAAATTTAGATAATTCTTCTCTTTGCCCCCAAAAACTGACAGAAAATGGCCAACATGTACTTCTTAAACCGGTGAGTGATTGCCAGCTGTTAGCTACAGTGCACACTAAAAGCCCATATCACCTTTCAACACTGCAGGAGTGTCTTGCTTTGGGCAAAGACTTATTTCTCAGGAAAAGATTGTTCTGGGTAAAATGAGAGAAGATCTGTGTTGCACATAACACAGCTTTAGTGTTCAATGACTGCTGGATAAGATAAATAATTAAAAAAAAGATGCTTTAATTAAAATACAAAAGTGGTCATTTTCTGCTCAATAAAAATGTTATAATTATGCTACTTGAATTACAATGTGAACCATAATAAAAAAGGAATACTTTAGTAAGGAAAAAATTATAAATGACACCTACATGTAAAATACTCTTAAATATTATACAAAATAAGAAAAAAAAAAGGAAGGAGACAACAGAGGAAAAAACAGAGGGAAACAAGTCCATAATACGTACAGAGCCTGCTGAAATGAAGTGGATCACTCAATCTTAGAACTGGAAATAACCATAAAACATACTAACCATTCCATATCAGTTTAAAAGCTATCCAAGGAAGATTCAAGATTTCATAGCCTAATCAGACGAAGATGGTAGAATTATTGGCATATTTACTCTTGTTTAGATGGCTGAGGTTCTTGGTTTAACAAACATGTATTTTTAAAGTATTCCTTCTCTAATCTTAATCTCTTCATGCTTCTGTCTCAAAATAATTTCCTTTTATTTTGCCCTTAGCAGAGATGAAGAACAGCTAATCCCCTAAGTCTGGAATAGAACACTTCATGTGCATGAAGACCTTTTTGATAATGTATCACCTTTCTACTCTTGCTCCTCTGAAATACATCAGATCTGTCCCTTTAACCTCTTTTTGTTTAGATTTTTAGATCCCACTGTTACATACTTCTTGATTCTTCCAAACTACCTTCTCTTCTCACTCAAGCTCAAATCCTGTTCCAAAAAGGATTTGAACAGTGCCAATTATAAGAAAATAGTTTGGAGTACAACAGCAACAGTTTTAAAGTCTGAAGCCTTGACATTTATATATATTTTAAAGCTGAGGTGAAAAGGGAATAAAAATTTCTAAAGCATCCCAGAATAGATCCTTGGATTTCAAGCCAATTACTTTGAAGTTATCTATTTAAACTTCCAGCTTTGGATTCAATCAAAGGGTCATGCTGTTTAATTTCTGAGAAATTACAGAGATGTGCTCAATAGACAAGTGGGCAGGTCCCATTTGTCTACCAAGATTTAAAAATAACTACTCTTTCCCACACAGCCGTCTTCTCTTTTATTATTATTATTGCATGATTTGCCAAGAGCTAAAACCACTCTACAACATTTATTTCAATGAAATATTACAGAGGACAATTGAAATCATTTTCTATTAATTATTCTGTTTTCATAAATTGTGTGTAAAGACCTGTCTTATGTGAAAGGATCGCAGTAGGTCTCATTATCAGCTTCAGGAAAATTAATTACAACTTTAAGGACTTTGATTCCCTGGCTTTAAAGCCACCAGTACCTGCCAAAACACAGAAATGACCGAGAAGTGTCACATTCATGAATTGCCGGGAACTGTCATTCATGAATTACCAAGGAGACACAGCAATGTTGCTTTAAGTGTCCACTACAGTCCCCACCTCTCTGTCTCAGATTACTGTGATGTCATCAACTAAGGATTTGCTAGCGATTATTATGCCCTGCACCAGAGCAAGGGGCTCCTAATTATTATAGTGGCTTGATTTGTTTCAATGTATAAAGTATTTAAAATTATTTTTGAACCATTCGGCTAGTTCTGATGTCTTCATTAGCAAATAAACAATCTTCTATCATATTCTAATACTCTTGGGGCATTTTGGAGGACAACTGCTTCGTGATCTTCAACCAACATTAACTCTTTTCCGGAGAGTGGGTGGGACAACTTTGTCATAGTGGTGAAGATGTAGTTATAGCACTCTGTCCTATGAGCCTTTACCTGGCATTCTAGCCTTCTACCTTGATGTCTGCTTTACAGGGTTTGGTAACTCCTCCTCCCCTACCCCCACACCCACACACACTTCTCCCATGGTCAGGATCTGGAAGGGAAAGTGGCAGGTGCTGGCAAGAAATACTAACCTTGTCCTCAGGGCAAATTTTGAATTGTTGCTACCACAGAGATATCTATCAGGAGGGATTGAGTAACAGTGGCAGCTGGACAAGAGCAGCAGTGAGGGCAGCACGTGATTCTAGCAACAACGGACAAGCCAAGACTAAAGCATCCCATAGCAATGCCTGAAGCAAATGCCAGGGCTTCTAAGCTCTATGCAACTACATTCTTCCTAGAGTTTTCTTAGCTGGAGAGAACATTCCCATACCCAGTCATGTTTGCAATAATATCTTTTAAGTACAAAAAATGAGACCAATTTACATACCTACAAATATTTGTACACACACACACACACACACACACATACATTGCACCAAAGGCAGAACCTATAAAAGATTGTTATTCTATTCCATTGAATCTAAGACTTTGTTTTTTCACATTTTAACATCTCTGAAATCAATATATGTCATACAATTTTTGGAAAAAAACAATAGACCTGACAACATAAAAACAAAACTTGAAATTTCTATATGACAAAAAATACCATATATACTGTTAAGAGGAAAACTTTAAAAAATTTACAACCTTATGCCTAACATAAGGTTATAAGGTTACAGCCTTATGCCTAACATAAGGTTTATACCCTTAATAACCAGGAGCTTTTACAAATCACACCAAAGCTGAGCAAACAATAGTGAAAAGGGATAATGATGTGCATAGGAAAGTTACAAAAGAGGAGGCAGGAAATTTTATATCTAAATAGTTTTGTTATTATTATTGTAATGACATTCATATAGTCCTACCTCTACGCTGCTGCTCCTAAAAGTCCAGTTATTAATTTAGGCTGGAGAAAAGGGGAAAAGGAAAGAATCTTCTCTGTTCCAGGCATTGTACTTCTAGATTTCACAAACGTGAATTCACTGAAGCCTCATAACAATCCCATGAATTTAATATCATCGTGCAGATGAGGAAAGCAAGGATTAGAGAAGCTGAGTAATTAAACAAATTCTCAGAGCAGGTATAGTAAAGCCCGCATTCCTGGTTCAGAGTCCTTATACACCTGATCAAAGCACAATTCCAGAAACACTATTCAGATACAAGAGGCTTCCCTGAAAATGAGGAGCCAGACCTTGAAGTTTTAAACCCAAAACAATAACTATTACCCTTAATGTCAGAGGCATCACGTTCCATGAATCAACAATATTTGTATCCAGTTGCATAGGAGACTTCTTAAAGTTCTGTTGTGATTTTCTCCTTTGGAAAAGAAGAAATTAACTGTCATATTAAATGTGTTTCAATTCAAAGATTAAGTGTTTTTTTGTTTAAAATACAGATCGCTTTCTACAAGTAAAACCATGACTGAAAAAAAAAAAAGCCTCAGTTCCTAAGTGTCATTAAAATCTGTCCACTTTACTAAAATAAATCATGTGCATCAAAAATAAGTAGATCCCTATTCCTCAGACTAGGTTTTAGGTGGAAACATGACAATGAAACAATAGCCCCCAAACTTTTATTGAAATACATGCAAAGAAGATGGGCCAGTGAAAAGCAGCCCTGCTTTGGTGGCCCAGAGAAAAGGGATGTTAATTAAATAAATGATCTGACAGATGTCAGAGTAGCTGGTGTTAATGTTATGACCATGTTGTACAGGTGAGGCCCTGAAATTTTACCCTAATTCTCTAGTTCCCCCGACACCGAAGTCTTGGCAGGGTGCCTTGAAGACAAGCCACAGTCCAGGAAGTCACCAATGTTGCATCTGCTGTCAGGCACCTACTTCTCCAGGTGGAAAATGCCTGGACCCCCCTTCCCTAAGACCAGAGCTGGGGGAATAGAGGGATAGATACTAGGTGTCACTTGTGTATTTGTACACAGAAAAACAGCTCTCTTACTCTTTTTTCTAAGTATCAGGTATTAGGAGTGCTCAGTTTGACGCATATGGCTGGGTTACAGAGGATTAAAACAGGATGCCTACAATTTTTCAGTCTTAGAAGCCATTCTACAATATCAGTCTAAGGTTTATATAATACTTCTCAACTTCCAACAAAGGCTAATATTTCTTCATCACCTTTTTGCAGACCAGCCTGTTCTTTTAAAAACCAACTTAAGTTTTTTTCAACAAGCAAAATGTAACCCAGTATGAAGTCAAAGTGGTTTAGGTTATTTAGCCTGAGTTCTGATAGTTTTTGAAAATATGTTAAATATATTAAAGTGTCATAGACAGTCTGTCCTGGAATTCAGCTGCCAAAAAAGTTCCAAATTAAAAGGACTAAACCAAAATGACTCTTTCCAGCACAGCTGTTTAACCTTTACAATGATACCATGCCACCAACTTGCACTGTGTCTGCTGCATTTCACCAGCCATTCATTAAAAAATTATCGCTATTTTCTAACCATAATAGCAAAAAAATAAAAAATCATATTTTCAAGTACTTCATTAACAAAAACTTGAGGTTTACAGTTGTCTGTTTGCAATATTGATTAAAAAATATATAATTCAGAACAAAATTTTCCTCCAGATTTAAGCATATAAGGAAAAAGGAGGGAAAGGAAGGAAGCCAGGAAGGAAATGTGAAGAAAGTGTCAAGTAAAGTTACTTATAACTAATAAAATTTTAGTAACACCATAACAGTATAGAGGAGGGGGTTAGAGAACCCAGATGAACACTTAGATACATGTCCTTAAAATCTGAAAAAAGGATAGTAATACAAACAACTTCACAAGCCTGTTTTCTCTAATGCAAAAAAAAAAAAAAAAAGAACATGGAACTCATTTCAGGCCAAAATAGTAAATGTGAATCTGATTTTAAGATTCCTGTTAAATCAACTAAGGCTACAGGTCATTTTAAGAGTTCATTAAAAATTCAAAAAACAATCAAATAATTTCCAGTAACTCCATATTATTTGCTGATCATCTTACCTCTCAGTTCTTTTAAAAGTTGTAAGATAAATTGATTCTAAGAATATATACAGGCTCCCAGCACTTTGGGAGGCCAAAGTAGGTATACCACTTGAGCCAAGGAGTTCAAAACCAGACTGGGCAAGATAGTGAGACCCTGTCCCTACAAAAAATAAAAATTAGCTGGGTGTGGTGGCACATGCCTATGGTCCCAACTACTCAAGAGGCTGAGGTAGAATTGCTTGAGACCAGGAGGTCAAGGCTGGAGTGAGCTGTGATTGCACCACTGCACTCCAGCCTAGGCGACAGAACAAGATTCTGTCTCAAAAAAATAATAAATACATAAAATGGTAATGAAAGAAATCTACTGAGTCCAAAGATTAGTCCAAGAGATTATGAATTACAAAGAGAGGTAATCAGATGTCATATTCATTGCTCAAAATATTTCATAAATAAAGCATCTAAAATATATGGGGGAATGAGTTAATTGTCTTAGGAGAGATGGTTTACCATTATCACACCTTAGTACAGTCCCATGAAAATCACATTTGACTTTTAAGAGCTCCATTAAAGTGGTTCTAAGCTGAAAATCTCCAAATTCAAAGACATTTGATGCTTATGTGATGATATATATCATTATTTTAGTATTATTATTCTCATCATGAGCACATTATTATCTAAAATAGTAAGAATTAAGTTCCTAAATGTTGAGTATTTCTAAAGGAAATGTGAATAAGTCATAAAATGTACAAGGGACATGGATCTTTGCAACAAAGCAGAATGAAATTGTAAAGTTTTGTTATGTTTTCATGGACTATGTATGGCTTTACTACCATGAGCCTGGTAAAATCTAGCAAACAGCTGCAATAACCTTCATAATTTATAAAATGAATAAAGTGAAACCACCCCATTAATATTAAAAGTTGAAAGTGTGTCTGTATGACTATTTTGTATAGTACTAAATACAGCAGATATTTTTTAAGTAGGAGGCTTTCCTCTCCTGAAATTCAGAAGAGCATTAGCCAAGTACCTTTCTGAGCACTGACAGGAGAAAAACTCCCTATGTCTAACAGGGGGAGAAAAACAAACTGCAGCAGCTTCAATGGTCCAGGATAACCTAAGAGGCCTTACTGAGTAAGGTCAGTTGTCAACTTGGTTATTTGATCTTTGACAGATACACAAAACTACATTCTAAGGCAAAAATACAATTGTTCTCCCTGACAACTTCTGATGCTAAGAGATACATATTTAATATTACTTGTTTTTTAATAACCTACTATAAATCTACCCCCACTACTTAATGAGTATTAACTGGATAAATCTATGTCACTCACTGAAATAAAGAATTTCCTGCTTATATCTGAAAATTCTGCTAAAAGACCAATTTGTCTTATAACCTAGTTATTTATTTATGAGACGGAGTCTCACTCTGTCGTCCTGGTTAGAGTGCAGTGGCATGATCTCGGCTCACTGCAACCTCTGCCTCCCAGGTTCAAGCAATTCTCTTGCCTCAGCCTCCCAAGTAGCTGGGACTACAGGCGCACGCCACCACGTCCAGCTAATTTTTGTATTTTTAGTAGAGACAGGGTTTCACCATGTTGGCCAGGATGGTCTCGATCTCTTGACCTCGTGATCTGCCCACCTTGGCCTCCCAAAATTGCTGGGATTACAGGTGTGAGCCACCACGCACGGCCAACTAATTTTTTTTTAAGCAGAACAATTTTGAAATTAACCCAAAGGGGCTAATTACTATAATAGCAAAAGATATTTTTTAAAGTAGTTTATATTCAGCAATCCTATAGAGTAGACCTTAAGGTCAACAATAAAATACAATTCCTGGGACCTTCCATCTACCCTAAAATTACTTTTTCAAAGCTTTAAAATGTTTCTAGGATTTGATGAACATGTTTATATTTGCCTTATTTGCATATTTCATGATTTCATAAATCTGGATCATGTCTTCTCTGAGACTTTATCTTTCTAGAAAGTCAGTCTTCCTGGTTAGTCATTATACTGAAGCCATTTAGCCTCAATTATTGACTTTCCCAGAATGCCTGAGCTCTCTGTTTTCTGATATTTGGCATCAAAACTGGATACATTAGAAACGAATTAACAGTCAGGACAAAAATAATAGAATTTTTAAATTTTGTTTTTTCAAAAACCATTTCTTGTTTTGCTAGTTTTTACTAACCTGTATAAACTTCCTCAGTGGTTTGAATTCATCTGCAGACAACACATGGTAGATTAAAGTGTTGGACTTTTATCTGAAGTTTAGATACCCAATTTTTCTACCCACTTATAGGATATAAACTTCCTAGAAAATCTTGGCTAACACTTCACCCAGAAATGTCTACAACCATCTTCCCTTTATTTACTGTTGAAAATAAAGCACTCTATCTAATACCCAGATGAGGACTGGGCCTTGGGCTCCTTTCTGGAAACAGAAAGAATCTCTTGGGGAAATGGTGCCATGTCAGTAGTGGTAGCTATCCATGACCACAAGACTTATGTCTTATTCATCCATTTATATCTGGCACCTGGTGAATGACAGATGCTCAAAAACATATCTGTGAAAGAACTGATAAAGATTTGAAGCCAACATGACTAAATGGAGACAAATAAATTACTCTGGAACTCCAATTTTCATTTATATATCCTTTCACATGTTCCTTCTAGGATAGAAGCAGATGGTAGTCAAGGAAGACAAGGGTGACTGGGCGTGGTGGCTCACCCCTGTAATCCCAGCATTTGGGGAAGCTGAGGTGGGCAGACTGCTTGGGCCCAGGTGTTTGAGACCAGCCTGGGCAACATGGCAAAATCCTGTCATTACAAAAAACATACAAAAATTAGTCAAGTGCCTATAAGTCCCAGCTACTCAGGAGGCTGAGGTCAGCGGGGGATCACCTGAGCCCAGGAAGTGGAGGCTACAGTGAGCTGTGATCACACCACTGCAATCCAACCTGGGTGACAGAGTGATACCCTGTCTCAAAAAGAAATGAAAGAAAAAATAAAAGAAAAACAGACAGACAAGGGAGAATGAGGTTCTAAGACCTTTTTGGGACAAGATTTTTCAAAAGGACTCAGTGAGACCCCAGCAATTCAATACGGAGTGGTAACAAATCTAATAAAATGTTCTGAGTAATGGAAGTAGATTCTGAGGTGTTTTGTCAAGAGTCTTTCAGGCACTGCTAAAATCAGCTTCTTTACCTACCCAGGGTTACTTCATCTACCTATATCCATCTAGATGTTTTTTTCCATCTCAAATATTCATTTAGACTAGCTAACTTACTCTCAGAATGAAGGTTCATACCTGCATTTTCAGATGCATAAGGGGCTTGCAGGGGACTATGTATACCCTATAATTAAGCCCTTGATACCTGGAAGGGTGCTCAAGTAGAACAGTGGGACATGAGGTTTCAGGCAGAAAGAACTGCTTACTTGAAGAACTAGGCTATTTGTGTGACCAAGGAACCCAATATTGATTTTAAATTGTTAAAGATCAAACTGTACAACATACTTGATAGCTGTCCATACTTGATAGACTGCCCCCTCACAGTCCAGTAACTTCGGATCACACTGTACAGGCACTAGACAGTTTCCACAGCAGCACATGACTTACATCAAACCTAAGACCTAGGGTTGGAGCTTTCATGAGAAAGTCAACCTTCTCACCACTGAGTGATGACAACAAAGCTTTCTCCAGACAACAAAAATGATGAAGTTAAATTTCTGTAGGAAACAATAATTTAATAACTAAAGGCATTTAGTGGAAAAAGAGGAATAACAAGTGCTAAGCAGGAAAAAGTGAACTTAGCAGGCTGGCAGACAGCACTGAGTAGTACCCCAGGGGCTGAAAAAGTGACAAAGACGACTAGAAAGCTGAGGTAAGACCAGATAACTGAGGGCCTCTCATTTGCTATGAAGTGTTTTGAATGTGGTCTCCAAGTCTGTATTTTAAAAATTCTATCATCTTCAGTTTAAAATCACTAGTTTAATGTGGTATTTTATTTGAAGTTTAAAAATTCCAATTTATATTTGTCATATATATGACAAAATACATGACACGTTTTGGACAAAAACACCCAAATTGTGAAAATGTGTCAGTGGAAAGTCTGGAAAAATAAAAGCCACACAGGTATTGTGTCGGACAAAGGCTAGTAAATGAATAAGTGGCTGTCAAAATTAGCAAAGGATCCTGCTGTGTAACAATTTGTCTGATTTGTGTTTTCAAAGAAAATGGCAGTTTGATTTTTTATTTTTCTCCTAAGCAAACCTATAATTTATAATAAATTAAAAGGAAAATTAAACTGAGAGGTATTCTTTACACTAGTGCTTTTAAAAAACTGATAATCATTTTATTCTGCTGCCACTTTATTAAAGCTTTTTTCCCCCCTACTCTCCTAAATATGACCATTTTTATCCATAGTTGTCATTGAAAATTGAAACTCACTGGGGATTTGACAGTATTAGGGTTTCAGAATTTTGTGTGTGTGTGTGTGTGTGTGTGTGTGTGTGTGTGTGTGTGCGTGTGCCTAGGATTAGGAATGGAGACTAAAACTTTCTGTACATCTCCTATGTAAGACTGCCCTCTCACCGGGACCTGAGTCAAACAGGTTGCTCAAAATTTCCCATATGAATGTTAACTCTCTGCTATAAGCAATTCCTTTAAGTTACTTTAAATCAAAACCCAGGTGTCCTATTCCACATCCCCGCAGCACCTCCTTGATTTTCCTAATAGTCGCTTGTGCTAGATTGATAGCTGGTTTCCAGAAAACATACCTTCATTTTGCTAGCATTTCAGTGCCTGAATTGAAAGGGACTAATGTGCACAGCCCAGAAGTTTCCAGGAAGCTATCTGAAGGAAACCACTTTCAACTGAAGGGGTGAGGAAGCTTTTATCAAATCAGAAGCTCAATCCCCTGATCAGGCCAGGCTTGCTCTTGTTACATGTTTTGGGATAGAACTTATTTTCTTTGACAAAATACTAAAAGTAATTTTGGGAGTGAGTGAAATACTAACAGCAGCTAATTTTCCTCATCATCTTCATTAGCATCATCATCATCAGTGTGGTAGGCAGAATCATGGCCCCCCCTCAAATATGTCCACGCCCTAGTCCCTAACACCTGTGAATACATTACCTTACATGGCAAACGGGACTCTGCAGATGTGATAAAGGTAAGAGTCTTGAGATGGGAATATTTTCCTGCATTACTTAGGTGGTCCCAATGTATTAGGTGGGCACAGAGGTCTTTATGAGAAAGAAGCAGGAATATCAGCCAGAGGAAATCTAGCAATGGAAGCAAAAGTTGAACTGATGCCATTGCTAGAAGGTGGCTACACCACCAAAGACTGGCCAGTCTCTAGAAGCTGGAAAACACGAGCAAATTCTCCCCTAGAGCCTTCAAAAGGAACACATGTCTGCTGACACCTTGGTTAGTGCCATAACACCCATTTTCAGATATCTGACCTTCAGAGCCATAATAACAAACTTGTGTTGTTTTAAACCACTAGATTTTTTTTTGTAATTTATAGCAGCAGTAGGAAATTAATACCATCATCAATACATACAACAACCCTATTAGGTGGTTGTTATTGTCCCCCGCTATACAGATTAGGAAACTGAATCTCAAAGGCATCTCAGAGAGCAAGTAACAGAGCCAGAAATCGAACACAGTACTGTTTGGCATAAAAATTCATGTTCTAAATAAATAATTACACTATAATGCCTTTAAGAGCAATTGGCATAAGAATTATTTAGTATTTATTTATATCAGCTGCCAAGCACTTGATAATCTAGCTTTTCCCTGTTATCCATCCTGTCTAAATGATCTAACATCTCGGCTTTCTCATGTTAAAGCTATCAGTATCTTCAGAGTTGTATCTAGGCAACAGTAGGACATTACACTATATTCTGCCCAGCACATAGTTGCTTCTCATTATAATCCTTACTCTATACAACTTCCATTGTACTCTTTGGGTTAATGCCACAGAGGTGCTGCACAGTGGCAACGAAAGAATACTGGCCTTGGAGTCAGCAAATAAAGGTTTTATTCCCAGCTGCGCCACTGATGATACACTACGTGACCTTCCACTTTGAACCTTTCAACCTCTTATATGAAAAACCTCTTTCTACTTTGAAGCTCTTATCTGAAAAAGTCAAAGCCAGACAATGTCTTAAGGATCTGTTATGAACTAAATGCTTGTGTTCCCCCAAAATTCATATATTGAAGCCCTAATCCCTAATGTGATGATATTTGGAGGTGGGGCTTTTTAGAGGTATTTAGGTCATGATGATGAAACCCTCATGAATGGGATTAGAGCCCTTATAGGAAGAGACAAGAGATAAATGATCTCTTTCCACCTTGTACAATACCGCAGGAAGGCAGCCACCTGCAAAGTAGGAAGAGGAACCTCATCAGACACCAGATCTGCCAGCACCTTGATCTTGGACTTCCCAGCCTCCAAAACTGTGAGAAATAAATGTCTGTTGTTTAAGCCACTCATCTATGGTCTTTCATTATAGCAGCCCAACCTAAGGCAGGATGCTTTGAGATATAAAGTCCTGGCTTTGTAACTTCCAAATCCATACAGGGATTCCACTGTCTAAGTGCTAATCCTAAATCTGCAATTTCCTGTGCAATGATGCCAGCTGGATGCCTTATTACTTCATCGTGGGTCCCTTACCATCTGCTTCCTTTTGTTAATAATACCACCATTTTCCCAGTCTTTGTGATACATTTTTACACATCCCTATGTTTCATTCTCTAGAGTCTGTCAGGCACCACATTCAGTTGCCTTCTTCATGTAATTAGGGTCTATTATTTTTAGGACAATAAATGTGGCAACAGGACGTTAGCTGAGGAATATATTAGAATCTACAAGGTGAGTCAGGAGTTTGTACTGGTTGTGGGAATGAAAAGAAAAGAACAAAGTTTTAAAAATGATTTGGAGGAAGGCATCTGGACGTGGTGACTAAAACTTGCTTCTTTATTTTTAAACAAGTTTAAACTCCTCAGTCCAGATTTTAAAATCTGAAACTATCCACATGTGTAATCTTATCTCCCAATGTTTCCCAGTCTGTTGCTTCTTCTACAAATCACCAATGACACTCACTAAATTAGTTAGGCTCATTCATTCCTAAATAATTTCAGCCCTTCATCAGGTTTGACATGTAAACTGCCTTCACATTTCATATCACATCACCCTCACAGCAACCCAACCATTGGAAAGACAAGGCAAATTTACAGAACTTGATCGAGGTTACAGCTAAATAAAGGGTGGAGCCAGGACTCACCAGAGGCTTCCGCATCCAAGTTCTTATTTGACATCACCACCTCATAAACCTTCTCACAAATACACTTTTATCAGGCAGCTCCCAGGTATTTTCTTGTTTCAATTTTCATGTAGTGTTCTGAAAAGTTATCCTCACAAAATGCACATATTGACCCAGGGGTGAGGGTGGCTCAGAAAGGGGTCATTTGTGTACACAATTCAGAAGGAAATAAATTTTGCTTATCATTTTAATATCAAGCAATGTTTGCATTTCATTCTTTTCTTTAACTTTATATGCCCTAGTAGGAGTGAATACAGCTAGACCAGGGGTGGGCAAAAGTCAAAGGTGAAGTTATGCCATAAAATAAACACAAGTAAGATCAAAATGTAGAACAATTACTCTTGACAACTCCTATGAGAAATACACTGATATTTCCCAGATAGAGAAGCTATTCCTCTTGAGAATATCCAGTTATTATTTGCCTAACCTCATTCAATCATAGTAATCTAACTTGCATGAAATAAAAGAAGGCAAGGAATCATGCAATGTAGAAACTGGAAAGACCTTAAAGGTTAACTGACCAAACTGAATTAGCCTGGATCCTATCATTTGCATGTGACATAATAAAGGACAACTCAAACTGGCATAAGAAAACAACAACAATCAAAAAAGCCTTTACTGGAGAAACACCTGAAAAGGGAGTGTTAGATTCATGCATAGATAGGGTCTGCTTTCCTCCATATAGGCTCCATCTCTAGTTACCTCCATGTGCAGATTGCCCACAATTCCACCTTTCCATTCTACTTACTTAGGAATATTATAGGGAAAAAAGCATCTTCTTTAATAGTTCCAGACAAATCCCAGAAGTTGACTTCTGATCCATCCATTCTGGGTTGCCTACCCACCCTAACTACCCCAGTGGCCACGGGAAGTATAGATTCATTGACCTAGGCTGGGTCACATGCTCACTCCTGGATAAAAGGGAACAGACTGGGTTGGACCCAGTACTTGAAAGTAGGAACTTTTTCAAGTACAGGGAGAAATGGAAGCTGAGCAGAAAAAACAAGTGTCTACCATAATAACATCTTATTATAGATGAGGAAACTGAAGTCAGAGAGTTAGGACTATATCTCAAGCTTTTAGTAATTCATTCAGAATTTAAACAGGTAAATTAATACCACCCATGTAGATACTCTTGAATTTTATTTACCTGTGCTTCATTGTTTTAGTAAACACTCTATAAACACTCTTGTATTTTTTACTCAAAATATAACTAATAAGTAAAGGGTGAAACTGTCCACCTTTTATTGAGGGTAATGTAGTCCCATTCATTATAAAAACAAATATAAAAATAAGGAAATAAGATTTATTGTGATTCACTGCACTTGAAGTGAATAACTTTTGCTTTGGGAGGCCAAGGCGGGTGGATCACCTGAGGTCAGGAGTTCAGGACCAGCCTGACCAACACAGTGAAACCCTGTGTCTACTAAAAATACAAAAATTAGCTGGGCGTGGTGGCAGGCTCCTGCAATCCTAGCTACTCAGGAGGCTGAGGCAGGAGAATCAATTGAATCTGGGAGGCGGTTCTTGCAGTGAGCCAAGACCATGCTATTGCACTCCAGCCTGGATGACAGAGCGAGAAGAAAGAAAAAAGAAAAAAAAGAAAAGAAAAGAGAAATTTTAAATAACTTTGCTTTGAAAGTTATTTGTGCTAAAATGGAAGCACTGCTTTACTTTCATAAATACATAAAAAGATATGCCTGATTCCATATTCTATCAATAGTCCACATTACACAGTATGGATAATTTTCCTTTTAGAACAATAGACTCTGCCATTTCAAATGTCAACTAAACAGCCTAAATGTTTCACCAAGAATGAGATACATTATTTTTCTCTCCGTTAAAATTTAAAGGCAAAGCTGGAATACTGGAGAGGGCTACCAAAAGAGTCATGACAGGACACAGTCACTGCAAAAGGCTTCCACACCCAAAATGGGAACCTGGAAGCAGAAAAGATTAAGTAAGCAATATGGATATGCATATATCTGAAAAAGAGATTGAGAGACAAGGATGAAAATCCACAGAAGAAAATAATTAGCTGGGGAATGTGGGCTAGAGAGTTTAAGCCACAAGAAGGACTTTGTCTTACCGCTACAATAGCATTTATTATTTTAGGCTGTAATTATTTGTTTATATGCCTGCCTCTCCCATAAGCCTTTAACCTCTTTAAGAGCAGGCACCATGCCTTGCATTTCTATATTCACAAGACTAATATAGAATAGATACTCAAAATGAAAGAATGAATAAACAATAAACAGTAGAATATAAATGAATGGAGCCCACACAAAAAAGGACTATTATACATATGAACTTCAGAAAACCATATGGTCCCAGCCACAAGACAAAAAGACTAAAAAGGACTGTTTTTGCATTACATTTTAAGGCAGCCACCTTACTTACAGCTCCTAGTCACAAAGTCTGATCTGGATTATCCAACCAGAAACACAACCAAAAAACAACTGTAGTTGTATATTAAAGCAGGAATTTTGTTTACTTGATTCTAAACCTGTAGTTTGTATGAATAATGGTATAAGTCATAAGGACTTCGGAGGCTAAAGATAAAATGTGTTGAATTTTATGAAAAGCACATTCAAGAGTTATGATGGTATAATTTGCAAAGCCCACACTGTCAGAATTTTAAAGAATGTAATTAGAAGGAAGAAACCATGACCTTTTGGAAGCAAAAAAAATTTCCGTATTTTTCCTGGAAACAAAAGGCATTTTTTTAAAAAGAAGTGTAACATCAAGAATATTAACTTCTTTCTTTTAAAGTGGTAGAAACTTACAATTTAAAATCTGGGTTTTTTGTTTGTTGCTTTTGGCAAGTAAAGGATAGGAAAGTTAGAATCAAACATCAAAATATACTTCTGGAAAGAAGTTTCAGAAATTTGGTTAAAACTATAGAGACTAAAATACTATTAAACAATCAACTACAAAAACTGAATAAATCCACTGCCATCTAAGGTGAAATAAATAGGGAGAAGAATTAAATGAGAGGGACAGAATCAAAGAAAGAAGAAAATCTGAATTTCTTTTTTTTTTTTAGCTTTTATTGTAGTTCAGGGTACACATGCAGGTTTGTTATACAGGTAAATTACATGTCACGAAGGTTTGATGTACAGATTATTTCATCACCAGGTAATAAGCATGGTATCTGATAGGCAGTTTTTCAATCCTCACCCTCCTCCCACTCTCCACCCCCAAGTATGCCCCAGTGTCTGCTCCTTTCTCAGTGTTCATGTGTACTCAGTGTTTAGCTCCCACTTATAAGTGAGAACATGTGGTATTTGGTTTTCTGTTTCTGCATTAGTTTGCTTAGGATAATGGCCTCCAGCACCATCCATGCTGCTACAAAGGACATGATCTCATTCTTTTTTTATGCCTGTGTCGTGTTCTATGCTGTATATATACCACAATTTTTTTATCCAGTCCATGGTTGATGGGCATCTAAGTTGATTCCACATCCTTGCTATTGTGAATAGTGCTGTGATTAACATATGAATGCATGTATCTTCGAACGGTTTATATTCCTTTGGGTTTACCAATGTGATGGTTAATATTAAGAGTCAACTTGATTGGACTGAAGGATATAAAGTATTGTTCCTGGGTGTGCCTGTGAGGGTGTTGCCAAAGGAGATCAACATTTGTGTAAGTGGACTGGGAAAAGCAGACCCACTCTCAATCTCGGTGGGCACAATCTAATCAGCTGCCAGTACAGCCAGAATAAAAGCCGGCAGAGGAACATGGAAAGACTAAGCTGGTTTAGTCTTCTGGCCTACATCTTTCTCTCATGCTGGATGCTTCCTGCCCTCACACATCAGACTCCAGGTTCTTCAGCTTTGGGACTCAGACTAGCTTCCTTACTCCTCAGCTTGCAGACAGCCTATTGTGGGACCTCACTTTGTGATCGTGTGAGCCAATACTCCTTAATAAACTCCCCTTTATATATACATCTATCCTGTTAGTTCTGTCCCTCTAGAGAACCCTAATACAACCTAATAATGGAATTGCTGGGTCGAATGGGAGTTCTGTTTTAAATTCTTTGAGAAATCACCAAATTGTTTTCCACAGTAGCTGAAACACTTACGTTCCCTCCAGCAGTGTATAAGTGTTCCTTTTTCTCCACAACCTCGCCAGCATCTGTTGTTTTTTGACTTTTCAATAATCACCATTCTGACTTGTGTGAAATGGTATCGCACTGTGGTTTTGATTTGTATCTGATTAGTGATGTTGAGCATTTTTTATGTGCTTGTTGGCCGTGCATTGGTGTCTTTTGAAACGTGTCTATTCATGCTCTTTGTCCACTTTTTAATGGGGTTGTTTGCTTTTTGCTTGTTAATTTAAGTTCCTTACAGATTACGGATATTAGCCTTTGCTAGATGCATAGTTTGCAAATATTTTCTCCCATTCTGTGGGCTGTTGGTTTACTCTATGGATAGTTTCTTTCACTGTGCAGAGTTCTTTAATTTAATTAGGTCCCATTTGTCAATCTTTCTTTTTGTTGCAATTACTTTTGGTGTCTTCATTAAGAAATCTTTGCCAGAGCCTATGTCCAGAATAGTATTTCCTAGGTTTTCTTCAAGGGTTTTTATAGCTTTAGGTTTTATATTTAAGTCTTTAATTGATATTGAGTTGATTTCTATCTATAGTGAAAGGAAGGGGTCCAGTTTCAGTCTTCTGCATAGGGCTAGCCAGTTATCCCAGCATCATTTATTGAATAGGAAGTCCTTTCTCCATTGCTTGTTTTTGTTGACTTTGTCGAAGATCATATGGTTGTAGGTATGCAGCTTTTTTTTCTGGGTTCTCTATTCTGTTTCATTAGTCTATGTGTCTGTTTTTAAACCAGCACCATGCTGTTTTTGCTACTATAGCCTTGTAGTATAGTTTGAAATTGAGTAATGTGATGCCTGTGACTTTGTTTTTTTTTTGCTTAGGATTGTTTTGGCTATTCGGACTCTTTTTTTTTTTTTTTTTTGGTTCCACATGAATTTTAGAATAGTTTTTTTCTAATTCTTTGAACAATGTCATTGGTAGTTTGATAGAAATAGCATTGAATCTGTAAATTGCTTTGGGCAATATGGCCATTTTAACAATACTGGTACTTCCTATCCATGAGCATGGAATGTTTTTTTCATTTGTTTGTTATCTCTGATTTCTTTCAACAGTGTTTTGTAATTCTCATTGAAATCTTTTACCTCCCTGATCTGCCGTATTCCTAGGGGTGTATGTGTGTGTATGTGTGTGTGTGTGTATGTGTCTCTACTGTGAATTGAATTGTGTTCTTGATTTGGCACTCAGCTTGGATATTGTTGGTATATAGAAATGCTACCGATTTTTGCACATTGAGAAAATCCAAACTTCTAAGCCTGGTATTCAAGGCTTTCCATGATTAGGATCAATGAATGGTTTCACCCTTATCCTTCACTGTTCCCTACTCATGCCCTTTGTGGCACCCAGATACGTATATCCTAAAAACACTTTACCTTATACATTCCACCATCTTTATCCTTTTACACAAGGACTAGGAAAACACCACCCAGCTAAGAGTCTAAGGACAGTTCTCAGAGATATACCAACTGGCTCTGGCTCCTTCAAGATAAGTTTTCTGAATTTCAGGTAAGCATGGGCAACAAAAACCACCCTTCCCCAAGCTCTAGTCTTCATTGTAAAACAAACTGAACCACATGATGCGGTCAAAGTACCTAAGTAATTTATATGTAAAAGACATGTCTAAGGTCTGAAAGAAAGATCTCTCTAAATAACTGGGTACCACCTGCCTGGCATGCCAAGAACACCTGAAAGTCCAGTAAACTTTAGTAGCTGGGTATGCACTAACTTGACATTGCTATCTACAACCGACGTGTGGGGACTTGTGATCAGAATATAAGTACCTACTTGTGTAGGGAAAGTCCAGTATAGGCAAAGAAAAGTTAATTAAAGTTTGACCTTACATGCTCTCTTCTTCCTAAATACTATAAAAAGGTGAAAGATTTTGTTGACATCTGCAAAAATGAATTAAATTGAAAACAAACTCAGTGTGAACTATCTTTTCTTTTACCAATACTTTGTATCAAGACACTCTTGCTAACTTGCTCATAATGTATACACCTTATAGATTATTTATTTGATAAAATTTCAACCCCAAATAAATTATTTTCATGATTTTCAATCATTTTCAACACTCATTCAGTATAACCCAAATGTACCCCTTATTATTCAATACTCTTCAGGTGAACAAATGATCATAAATATGACATTTAATAATTTTAGTATTTTTATACTTTTATAGTTGACCATGGTCAACTACAAATAACAATGAGATCATTATCTTCCCTTTCAGATTTTCTATTTTTTCTTTAATTTATGCAGTCCATCATAGCATGAATAATTAAATGTAGGTTGATTACTGGGAAAGGGAAAAGTTTGTATTTTCTGCTCTATCTAGATCTACATGGGATTTTAGAAAGATTATGATGATATATTCTTAATACAGGTAGGATAGGTAGAGTGAACATTCTAAATCTATGGAGCAATAAAAAAGAATAAAGTATTTGTAGTAGGCTGAATGGTGGCCCCCAAAACAATTACGTATATGTCCTAATCTCCAGAACCTGTGATTATTACTTTATATGCTCCCTCCCACTGCCAAAAAGAAAAAGTGATTAAATTAAGGGCCTTGAGAAGTTTGGCCCTAAATGCAATCAGAGGGTGTTTTCAGACAAAAGAGGAGGAAGCAATGTGACCACAGAGGCAGAGACTGGCATCATGCAACCACAAGCCAAGGAATGCCAGAAGCTACCTCCAGCTGGAGAGGCAGGAAATGGATGCTTCCTTAGAGCTTTCATATGGAGTGGGACCCTGTCGACACCTTGATTTTTGAAATTTGGCCTCCAGAGCTGTGAGAAAACAAATTTCCACTGTTTTAAGCCACCAAGTTTACGATAATTTATATCAGCAACCACAGGAAACTAACATCTTAAAGAATATCTGTTTTCAGTTAAAAGATGAAATGACACTGCTTTTGGTGAACTCTAGAAGAAATAAAATACAGTGTTATAAACATAAATTCTACAGTAAATGACCTGAAGTACCTTTAGAGATGACCAACCATCCACAGAATACAATTGGAAAAGTACGATATTAAAAGCATAGTTGCTGATTGTACAGTCATTGAAAAGTTGACCCTTCCAGCCAGTTTGTTTAAAGAGAATGAGTTAAATTAACTTCATTTACTTAAATAGCATTGGTTTTTGAAGCATAAGAGTCTGACTTTTTGTATTTGGGTTATATGGTTCTTTGGATGAATGAGGTCAAGATAAAATTACCAACCCACTCTGTCCTGAATCAATAAATTATTCAAATGTAAGGATTTTATTTGAGGGGAAAAACAATAAAAAGGGGGAAAGCTCTCTCACTGCTATCCCTTTTTAATAAACTATCTCTGTCAAACATTAACATGCTTCATTAAAATACAGCATTGCTTTTAATGAATAAATATTTTCCTTAATTGCTTTTGGAGTGAGGCTATATAAAAATTTATTTTTTTTTGTTTTTGTAACACAAAAGACAGCACAAGAAAAACTGAATTGTCCTAGTTGTCCTGATCGTCCTGGGTGCTCAGCTGCCCCAGCTTCTCTAGCCTCTGATGTTGCCATAAATCTTACTTCTCAGAATGGTTTCTTATCAACAATTTCCTTCTGAGGAGAGATAATAGCCAGCATCTTCCTTTATGAAACACTTGTCATGAACATTAAATTCACACAGTTTAATACATCCTAAGTAATCTTCATTCGCCCTGAAGATTGAAGCTGAATTACACTTGATGGTTCAGAAAATGATTATGTATAAAACAGAACATAGGACCTTTTCTTCATCAAAGTTCTAATTATCTACTCTTTGAGGGGAAAAAATCGACAGGACGTCAAAAACAATGAACTCATTTCCTATGAAGAGCAAAACCAGGCCTGATATTTGAAAGACAATGGAAGGTCTTGGCTCAGGAAATACAGGCTTCGGAAAGGGTCACTACGGAGTAACAGCAGAATGTGTCTTGGGTACCTTTCCACCTTCCTCCTTCCTTCCCATTTCCTGGCTTGCCTCTCTCTTCATTCCCCAAGTATCGGATCTTTCCCTCTAGATAACTAATGCCCCTACTAAGTGCTTTACTCAAGGCATACTCTCGGTAAAAAGTCTTGTTCTCTAAAATGTATCTCTTTTCTTCCCGTCAAAGCTTCATGTTAGATGTTCAATAAATGTTTTCAATATTTTAACAAGCTATTCTTCCTTCTCAAAGATGAAATGTTTACTTTCTCTACGAAGATTTAACTTTCTAAAAGGAATAATTTACCTCAACTAGAAAACACTGCAATGAAGCAAATTACCCCTGCCAAGCAGCCACGGAATCCACTGGCAGCGGTAATTTACTCCTAACAAACCAGGCATTTAAATTACCTATTTTCAACATAGTTTGGCCTCAAGTTTGGACATAGCCCTCAACTTTTCAAAGAAAATAATAGAATCACTGATTTGGTGCCCTTTTTTCAGCCCTAGGTGATAGACAATCAAAAACACATCTGCTTAAGTAAATACAGATAAATCAGAAGCAGACACTACCTTTAATTTTTAATCATCGCTGACAACAGGAGCTACCCCTCTGGTTTTCTAAACAATGAGATCCTATCACCCCACAATCCTGTTTAAAAAAGAAACTCTTGCCTATAAGGTAAGTGAAATTTAACATCTATCTGGTCGTACAGTGGTATAATATTTCAAATCTTTTGTGACAGAGGGAAGAAAATTAAAAAGGTATAAAAATGACCGTATTTACAAGCATGTCTTTTAGAGAGTGCTGGGACTGACAGGAGAGAGAAAACAGGGAGGTGGGGTGGGGGGATTACTCTCTGACAAGTATGGGAAAACAGTAATGACCAAAAAACTGTAAGAGAGAAAAACAATAATGACCCCCCCCCCACCAAAAAAAAAGAGTAAGAAGCAATATCCTTAAAGTGAAATAAGATTCTCCCTCTATGGAATCAATGGTAGAGTCATGACATGGAGCTGCAGATTGAGAGCTGGCTAAGCAGACCTATTCCCTGCCAGCCCAGGAGAAAATGGTAATTGCCCATGACATAATAAGAAATATATATTTGGTCTCTGCCCAGTATCCATGTGCACAGCTTCTAAAACCCTTGGAAATCTCCAAAATGATGTTTCTTTTTGTATACTTATTGGATGGCTGGTGGCTGGAGGCTCCTGGATAGCCTCAGGATGGGGGCTGGTTGCCAGAGGGACCAGCCATGTGATTAGAGGGTTGGGATTTCAGCCTCAACCCCCAAAGTCCAGGGAGAGGGGCAGGACTGGAGGTTGACTAAATCACTAATGGCCAATGATTTAATCAACAATGACTATTTAATGAAACCTCTATAAAAACCCAAAAAGACAGGGTTTGGAGAGCTTCCCTAACACATGGAGGTGCTAGGAATGCTACCTTCTTAGTGCATCCCAGTAAGACTTTTAGCACCCATCAGTGTACTGAAACTGCTCTTGCTGGGTCAACAACAACCCACTGTCCAAATCTAGTGCTTCCCCTGGACCTTGCTCTATGAATCTCTTTCATCTGGCTGTTCTTGGGTTGTATCCTTTGTATTAAACAGGTAAACATAAGTAAAGTGTTTCCCTGTGTTCTGTGCACCATTCTAGCAAATGATCAAACCTAAGGACACACTCATGGGAACCTCTGATTGATAGCCGTAGGTGAGGAGTGTAAGTGACAATCTGGACTTGTGATCAGTGTCTGAAATAAGGGCAGTCTTGTGGGACTGAGCCCTTAACCTGTGGGTAGATAGTGTCAGAACTGCGTTGAATTGTAAGACACTCAGCTGGTGTCAGAGAATTGGCTGTGTAGGAAAAACCTCCACATATTTTAGTGGCCAGAAGCGAAGTATCAGTGTTGGGTGTGAGTGTATGGAAGACAAGGCATGGCTTGTTTTTCCTAATCATCCCCGGATTCCAGCCCAAGTTCCCAGCACTTTGGGAGGCTGAGGCAGGCGGATCACGAGGTCAGGAGATCGAGACCATCCTGGCTCACACAGTGAAATTCCATCTCTACTAAAAATACAAAAACAAAAAATTAGCCGGGCGTGGTGGCGGGCGCCTGTAGTCCCAGATACTCGGGAGGCTGAGGCGGGCGGATCACAAGGTCAGGAGATCGAGACCATCCTGGCTCACACAGTGAAACTGCGTCTCTACTAAAAATACAAAAAAAAAATTAGCCGGGCGTGGTGGTGGGCACCTGTAGTCCCAGCTACTCGGGAGGCTGAGGCAGGAGAATGGCATGAACCCGGGAGGTGGAGCTTGCAGTGAGCCATGAGCCAAGATTGTGTCACTGCACTCCAGCCTGGGCGACAGAGCGAGACTCCATCTTAAAAAAAAAAAAGAAAGAAAGAAAGAAAGAAAGAAAGAGAATGCAGGTCTCCTGGCCATGCCAGAGTCCTCTGACTGCTACTTGGATGCAGGGAATGCTGAATGTGAAAGAAGTTCTGGAGAACATTCCCTAATGTGGCTCTGGAAAAGACCCAAGTCATTCTAGGTCTAGGGTAATCCAAAGAATCCTAGGGCAGGACAGGCCAGCAGGGGAACTATGAGGCACGAACCAAGAAATAGTGCATGTGTAGCTGTGAAAAAAAGACAGAGTGCTTCTGGAAATGCCAGGACCAGAAAACACCAATTATTTAATGTTTAATATATGCCCATATAACTGACAAGTCCTGGATTACTAGGTTCAAAATGAGGTCACTGGGCTAGATAGTGTCAGTTTCTCCACTCCCCATATGCACTCTCCACCCTGCGGTAGTACTGGAGAGAGAAGGCCATCGCTTTGGATAATAAAATTAATTTGTGAAATACACAGGGGAAAAAAATGAGAGGTTTTCATGGTTAATTTGAAGGGGAAAGTAAAGAAGAAGGATCCTAGAGGACTGCCAGATTTCCAGCTTCAGTAATTGAGTAGATGGTATACTTTCATAAAATGAGAGAAAGAATATGTTAATAGAAGAACTAGTTTAGCAGGAAAGAAGGGGAATTTCATTTTAGACATAAAACATTTGTGAAGCTTTGGACTATTCTGGTGGCAATGCCAAGGAGGCAGCTGCAGAGATGAGAAGAATATTCACACAAGAACTGAACTAAGGACCCCAATCTAAGGATTATGGTCACAGAACAGACACAGGGAGACTACAGAGGGAGATGCCCCAGTGCAAGGTAGAGAAGGACAAGAGTGGAAGATAGAACCTGCGGACACTAACAAACACTTAAGAAGCAGCCAGAAGAATAGCCTGTTGACATGTAATAGTTGATATAAGAAGATGTGGGAGAGGGCACTGTTTCAGAAGTAGGAGAGTAAGGAGCTTCAAAAATGAAGAAGTTACAATAGTGTCAAATGCAATGGAAAGCTCCATTAAGAAAGCAACGGGAAAAAAAAGTCCACTAGATTTGGACCCTGGGTTGTTGTTGACCCAGCAAGAGCAGTTTCAGTACACTGATGGGTGCTAGAAGTCTTACTGGGATGTACTAAGAAGGGAATAAGATATATGAGAAAACCATTTATTCTAAAATACAAAACAACAACAAACTACTAAGCCCAAATAAAATTATCTGCATTACTATACTCCACAAATTATTATCATTCAGAATTTATTCATTAATTCCAGAATACATTTATTAAATATGTACTATGTGTCGGGAGCAATAGGAAGCACCAAGAATATAAAGATGAGTAAAAGATGAACCCTGCTTTTGAGGAGTCTGCAGTTAAGAAGGAATATACATCCATTACCATCGTACTCTATGCCTAATCAGACTGCCCTCCATTCCATAATAATTCACTGTGGTAATTCCAGCAACAGAGGACAGAGTCAGAAACACAATGCCTAGGGAACATAGCAACTTGTACAGAAATTTCACAGCTGAGACCCGAGGAAGGAGTGGTGATCTGATAGTCTGGGCAGGAAGCATGGTGGTGTTCCAGGCAAGAAGAATCTGGAAAAGGCCCAATATTGGTCCCAATCTGAGAGAAGTTTAGCATATTGTGAGTGGTTTTATACCAATCTTAGGATTTGGAAATAAGGCTTGGGCATTTGTTGGGTTGTTTTGTTTCTGAGGTTTTTGCTTTGTTTTGTTTTGTTTTGTTTTTGGTATGTCCCTGGGTGTGTGTGTTTGGTTTGGTAAGCCAGAACTTTGCAGTTTTTGCAGGTATTTCCAAGGCAGCATCACTACTGGCAAAGAGAAAATATGTACTAGGAAGGGCAGAAGGGTTCCTGAGATCACACTTACCAGTTGAGATCACAATTGAGCACAACATTTATTTGAAGTCTTGCATTCCTTTCAGGCAAATTCGTTATTCTACTCTATTTTCACTTCATTTTTTCTCAGCTGAGATCACAATTGAGCATATCTATTTGAAATCTTGCATTGATTTCAGGCAAATTCTTCATTCCACTCTATATCTATTTTTTACATTAAGCAATGTTTTAAAATTAATATAAAATATTGGTTCTTCTCTAAATTTTTTAGGAAAAATTGATACTACAAGAAGATATGCCATGTTTGCCCCCCAAATATATGTGACCTTGAATAAGTCTCAAACATTAATATGAAACATGACTTTTGGCTGTGAGAATCAAGAGGGAACTTTAAAGAGGGAAGAAACAGTGTGATTTGACTTGTTTAAGAAAAGCAAGTTCTTAGGAGAAATAAATTTTGCACCATGATAGAAGAAAAAAATGCTACCAGATTCAGAGTTCTGGATTTATATGCTTTGCCTAATAGCAATACTACATTAATTTCAGTTTGAGTTTTTGGTATTCTTTCCTTTCTACTACTGTTTTTGACCTCTTATATCATAGTGGCCCTGTTATAATGAGTCTCTTACTGTAAATTACCTCAAATATATTTTGAAGTAAGCTACACATAAAAAACTAGTAAAAAATAAATAAATAATAAGCAATTAACAAATAACAATGTAGAATTAGATAGGGGTAACAGTTGCACAACTTTGTGAACATATTAAAAAGAAGCACTAACTTGTACACTTTAAAAGGTGAAGTTTATGGTATGCTAATTATAAAATTATATGTCAATTAAAATTTTTTTCAAGAGTATCACAAAGCACTATGCACACTGTCAACATATACTTTATAACTAACCAACCAATTTAACTGGTGACTGATCTTCCATACATATTCTAATCCTCAGTTATCCATCTAATCTAGATAACAGGACACTGTTGTACTTTAAAAGACTTATTTCAATGTAATAACAATTTTTTGAAACAATCTTTCAAGGTGAGGATCCTAATAATACAACATTTTTAAGGCACACAATGAAGTATAAAGCATGACTGGAAAACTTAAGAGACGATGTGTAATTTAAAACAAATATGAAGTATCTGCAGAGATTTCCCAAGACAGAAAGGCCCAACTTTTATGAAACAGAAGTTTGTCTTAGAGCAAAATAACTGCAAAGAGGCAACAAAACCACATGGAAAATTTATATTCTGTTAATGAGGTGTGACTTCACCACATGTCCACCAACTGTTTGCAAACCTAATAAAAGCCATGAATGAACAAAGATCCAGACAAAAAGACTTGAAATATGAAAAACCAAGTTTTTTTGTTATAGTACATTATTTTAGTTTGAAGACTTCAGAACTTTTAAAATAATATATGTGTTTTCACCTTCAGTGAGAAACCTTTCCATTTTCTTTATTGGAAGATAATCTCATTAAATACTATTCTATTTGCAAATCTTTTAAGTGGTATTATGAAGCACCTTTATAAAAACTATCTTCTTTTTGCAATTGGAAAAATGGAGGTGGTACACCTACTTCGTAGTTTCTTAATATTTCTACTTTCTATTTATTTTTCTTCTTTAAAGTCTAAATAAAGTGGAAGATCCCTTCTCAAATGTATTTCCTTCTCTGAAGAAAAACCAGCTTGAAGTCTGACTGTATATAGGGCACTTAAATTTTTACCTAAAAATTTAGCTTACATTCAACAAATGATACTGGCATAATTGACATACATTATACAAAAATTAACTTAAATGGATCGCAGATTTAAATGTAAAACACAAAAACACAAACCTATATAATTTTTAGAAGGAAGCATAAGAAATTTTTACATCATACACAAAAGTCAAAATGTATAATAGGGCTTAAATGTATCAGCAAAAACTATACAACTTTTAAAAGAAAACATTGGAGTAAATTTGTGACCTTGGCTTAGGCAATGGATTCTTAGATACAACAGCACACAAGAGACCAAAAATAATAATAATAAATAAATAGAGAAATTGAGCTTCAATGGAATCTAAAACTTTGTGCTACAAATGATATCATCAAGAAGATGAAAACACAACCCAAAGAATGGAAAAAACATTTGCAAATCATATATCTAATAAACGACTTATATCCAGAATATCTTTTAAAACTCTTACAATTCAATGATAAAAAGATTAAAACAAAAAATGGACAAAGACTCTGAATAGGCATTTCTACCAACCATACACCAATATATGTACCATATTCTTTTTATGTACATATTGGATATATAAGAAACATATGTCCATACACATATTGTACACAAATGTTCATAGCAGCATTATTCATAGTAGCCAAAAAGTGGGAACAATCAAATGTCCATAAACTAATGAATAGATAAACAAAATCTTATATATTCATATTAATACAATGGAATATTATTCTGCAATGAAAAGGAATGAAATACTGATACATGCTACAACATGGATGAACTTTGAAAACACTGTTCAAGTGAAAGAAGCCAGTGACAAAAGACCACAGATTCTATTTATATAAAATGTCCAGAATAGGCAAATCTACAGAGACAGAAAGTAGATTAGTGTTTGCCTAGGTTGGGGGGACAAGGAAGATGGGGAGAAATAGAGCATAATTGCTAATGGGTACAAAGCTTCTGCTTGGGGTGATGAAAATGTTCTAAAACTTATCAGAATGACAGTTGCACAACTCTGTGAACCTAACTAAAAACTATTGAATTGTACACTTTATATGGGTGAATTGTACAGTATGTTAATTATATTTCAATAAGGCTCTTTAAAAAACATAGAAAAAATTTTCATAACCTAGGGCTAGACAAACAGTTCTCAGACATGACATTGAAAGCATAATCCAGGAAAAGGAAAAACTAACAAGTTGTAAATCATTAAGATTAAAAACTTTTCCTCTGCAGAAGACATGTGAAGAGGATGGAAACATAATCCATAGATGGCAAGAAAAGATTTGCAAACCGGTATCTGGCAAAAGACAAGTATTTAAAACATATATATATAGCATTGTGCTAAATTATCTATTTTTACCTTCATAATATCTCTACAAGTTAAATATTCTCCATTTTAGAGATGAAGAAGCCGAGGCTCAGTGAGAATAAGAACCTAGATCTTGAGGAGCCATAACTCTCAAGTCCCTTTTTGCCCATGGAATCTCTCCACTTCTTCTCTTCTGTATCTCAGCGGGTCTCAGAAAGTCTGAAGGCTAAAGGATACCCTTAAAAGTCTATTTGTGTATTTACCCATACTCTATCACTGTAAGTATTAGACCAGAGTCCACTTATGTAAAGAGAAAAGAACTTGCTTTAAGTTCTACCCATGGAATTCCAAATAAGGATGTGTAGTCACAGTAATACATTCAGATCACCTAAGTGGTGAGTGGCAGAGGGAGAATTTTAAAACAGGTTTTTCTGGCTCAAAAGCAGGGGTATCCAGTCTTTTGGCTTCTCTGGGCCACATGGAAGAATAATTGGCTTGAGTTACACATAAACTACATTAACAATAGCTGATGAGCTTTTCTTAAGAATTGCCAAATACTTTTTATGGCTGCATAGTATTCCATGGTGTATATGTACCACATTTTCTTAATCCAGTCTATCATTGTTGGACATTTGGGTTAGTTCCAAGTCTTTGCTATTGTGAATAGTGCCGCAATAAACATACGTGTGCATGTGTCTTTATAGCAGCATGATTTATAATCCTTTGGGTATATACCCAGTAATGGGATGACTGGGTCAAATGGTATTTCTAGTTCTAGATCCCTGAGGAATCGCCACACTGTCTTCCACAATGGTTGAACTAGGGGAACTGAACAATGAGAACACTTGGACACAGGAAGGGGAACATCACACACCGGGGCCTGTTGTGGTGTGGGGGGAGAGGGGAGGCATAGCATTAGGAGATATACCTAATGTAAATGACGAGTTAATGGGTGCAGCACACCAACATGGCACATGTATACATATGTAACAAACCTGCACGTTGTGCACATGTACCCTAGAACTTAAAGTACAATTAAAAAAAACATATATATATATATATATATATATATATATATATATATATATAAAAGAATTGCCATACACACACAAAAAAAAAATCATAATGTTTTAAGAAAGTTTACGAATTTTTGTTGGGCCTCATTCAAAGCCGTCCTGGGCTGCATATGGCACATGGACCGCGGGTTGGACAGGCGTGCTCTAAAGCTTACACTATACTATGTTTCTCTATAACCACAATTTCTATTGCTAATAGGAACACTATTGTTTAGAACTTAATTTTAGATATTTAAAAGTCTAAATCCTATCAGTAGCTTCTCCTTCAAGAAATAAATTCAATTCCATTTTAATAATTTGTGAGATACAGGATAGGAGGAGGGCCAGGAATTTAAAACAATTTTTTTTAAAAAAAAGAATTAGATTTGGAGACATTCCTTTATAAGTGTAACTTATTAAGAATAGTAAAAGCCAAAAACTATTGGAAAAAGTGAAAGAGTGAAAGGGAATCTAAATATTCTTGGCTCTGAGATTTTTGGGTCTAAAAGAATAAGACAAATATTTAGGCAGAGAAAAAAATACATATACATTTAGCTAAATGGTGAGTTAGAACTAGGCCACATCTCATTTCTTCTGTCTCAAAGTGCTTAATTTAGAATCAGATTTTAAAAACAATCCTCCGCAGGCCAGGTTTGGCCCTTCCAGTTGGCACCTAGACATCAAAATCTGTGACAATCTGGAACAACTGAAAATAGCTTTGGATATTCAACTATCAGACAGTAAGGAAGGTCAAATTTGAATTAATGCATTTTAAGACTGAAAAAGAGATTTAATACAAGCCTTAAATGAGAGAAGGAAAAATAAAGAGAATTAAGCAGCTAACTTCTTCCTGCATCTCATCAGAAGTGAAGACAGAGCTTGCATACAGTTCTTTTTGCCCTTATCTTCCATCTAAGGCACTTGGGTTCAGAGCTGTACGCTGCTTCTGCTCTAACTAAACTACAAAGCAATTTCTTCAATTTTCTTCTTATTCCTGGCTAAGAACCTTCACTGTTCATCCATTTTCTACAGAATAAAGTCCAAATTCCCTTGCCTGGCATTCAAAGCCCCTCCCAATTTGAATTCAACCTACCTCTCTAGTTTTATTTCCCATTATTCATTACCCCCCATCATGAGTCCTCTATTAGAGCCAAACAGATCTACTCACTGTTGAAAAAGCAGGCATGTTCTGGTCTAGCCCTCTCTGCTAATGGCACCAGCATCCCTCCTACCCTCTTCCACCTGCATGAATTCTTCCTATCTCCAAGTTCCAGCTCCTGCATGAGTCCTCCCCAACTATTTCAGGATGCACGCACACAAAATCTCTCTCCTTCTGAAACCCTGTATTGGTTATGTAATATTCCAACCCACTCATCTGGGGCTCATCATAAACTCTCCTATTTATCTTATTTCTATGTCTTAACTCCTCAAATATATAAGTTACCTGAGGGTAAGGACCTCAGTTTTCTTTATTCCTATATTTTATATAACATTTAACCAGGAACAAATTAATATTACCTGAGCTTCAGCTAATAAATTTTAAAGCACTCATGCAAGGAAGCTAAACAAGTTGACATTTATAAGCCAAAAGGAGGAATATATGTCATCAAAAAATTTCAATATTTCACTGTATTCACATTTCACATAAGACAAAAGTATCTTTAGTCTCTTTAATCAAAATAAACAAAGAAGTCCTTATGTGTTATCAAGCCAGGAGAGTGTAACTACTGGAGACAAAGTTATTTGCACCCACTGGAAAAGGCAGTAATAAGTTTAATAGCGGCAAGTAGGTTTCTCTGCTTGACTCTGCCTAAAATATGACTGTGCTGCACCCTGCAGTCTGTGGAAGAAAAGAATTATAAGAAAGTCCATTCAAAGGCTAATCAATGTTTGGGCAGAAATAATTTTCCTACTGTTTTAAAAGTACTAATCAATTTTCCTCCTAATGTTGTCATTACAAACTGAAAATATACAGTTGGGCTGTACTGGCAATCACCATTTCATATTAAGAAATGTAGCTCTGCATTCCTTTTCCTTATTCTAGAAACAAAGAAAGTAACATGAATGTCTATAAAACCATATTACTCTATAATCTAATCTCCAATCCTCTGAAAAAAAAAAAAATCCCTGTAAAGATAAAGATTTAACCATTGTGCTCATTGAGTCCTATCTGTGAGAACACAGCCGGGTTCTGGAATGGGTCTTAATAAGCATTGCATATTCAACCTGGGAAGTTCCCTTTTAAGAAGTAAGCTATCAGGAGAAAATATATATAGATAAAAAAAAAAAGTCTTGGACTCTGGCAATTCCAAGATGACTCACAATATGTACATCCAAATTCCCAACCCCAGATTACTAAATTCCATTTCTGCCTTGGGTCCACACTGGGACAATTCCAGGTTCATGTATTGTAATGATTACTTTTAGGTGTCAACTTGACTAGATTAAGGGATACCCAGAGAGCTGGCAAAGTATTATTTCTGCACATGTCTGTGAAAGTGTTTCCAGAAGAGATTTGACATTTGAATCAGTCGACTCAATAAGGAAGATCCTCCGTCACCCAAAGTGGGTGGGCACCATCCAATCAGCTGACAGCCCAGATAGAAAGAAAGGCAAATATGTTCTTTCTCTTTCTCTCTCTCTCTCCTTCTCTCTCTTTCTCTCTCTCTCTCCTCTCTCTCTCTCTTTCTCTCTCTCTCTCCTTCTTTCTCTCTCTCCTTCTCTCTCTCTCTCTCTCTCTCCCCTGGAGATAGAATACCATCTTCTTCTACCCATGGACATAAGAACTCCAGGTTCTCCAGCCTTTGGAGACTTGTGCCAGCAGCATCCCCAGGTTGTCAGGTCTTTGACCATAGATTGAGAGTTACACCAGGCCTTGGTTCTCAGGCCTTTGGACTTGAACTAAGCCAAGCCACTGGCTTCCTGGGTTCTTCAGCTTGCATGCCGTCCACTGTAGGACTTCTCGGCCTTCATAATTGTGTGAGCCAATCCCGCTAATAAATTTCAGCTCGTATATCTATATGTACATCTGTATCTACATCCTATTGGTTCTGTTTCTCTGAAGAACTCTCACTAATACAGATACCTAGTGAGCAAATGGTCATTCCTGTGGATTCCAGAACTCTCTGGTAGGTCTTATGAAACCCAATGCAAACTGGGGTTCAGCACAAATTTCCCAAAACTGACTAGACACCAGGAAAATTCCAGAAATATCTCAATTTCATTGTATTCTTAAGGCTGCACTTGGTAAATATTTCACGATGCTTTCCAAAAGTGCTGCCAAGGAAACATTTTAAAAGTACCATTAGCAAATGAGGTTGAGAAACACCACTTACCATTTGTTCCTACTGGATCACTCATTAGAAGAATAAATGTTCTGGAAAAGTCCTCATAAAGAAATCAGTTACCTTCACTTAAACCAGCATTTCCCAAAATTATCTGAAATCCTATTAACACTTCCATGGGGCTATCCCTCCCTACTCCATGACTTTTATAAACCGTATGTCTCAACTCTATCACTAAAGAAATTCAAATAGGAAAAATGCATACATTCGAGATATATTTTTTATGTCACCTAGGGAAAGGCTTTCCAACGGGGCTCCCAAAATTTCATTCATTACTTTGACCAGTTTGCTATAGTCTAGGATCTGGTTCTGAGCTGCCCAAGTTCAAAACTGAGTGTGTCAGCTGACCAAAGAGATTCGAAATTTCACTGGCAGGTTCACTGACCACAGTCACAAGACTGCTGTTTAATGCTAGAATGTCAATTTATTAAGTTATAATTAACAATAAATAGTCATAGAAACACCTATATTCTAAACTGCAGGACCTACCCATTCCCTCCCTCTGACCAATCCAGTTGGGAAGCCAAATCATATTCAGAAGGTTAGCACACACTCAGGGGAAATCACAAAATGAATTGCATGTTTAATGATATCAGGCTAAGAAAGCCTGATGTATCCATAATAATGATGACCTTGTTTTAAAAATAAACCATAAGAGTGGTGGGTAAAAGACTGGTCTGGGGTGTGAGAACTTTTTTTTTACTTCCCCTTACAATCCAGCAGCTCTAAGAGTTCCCCACCCACTCCTAGAGATGGGAAATTGCTGGTTTTTCAATCTTATCTAAGGTGTGGGAAAAAATGTACTAGAAAGGTTGGCTATTTCTTATGACTACGTCATATAATCTAAGTAAAAACAGTGAGTTTGCTACGCAAACATAATTACAAATAAGTTGTCTTAGTCTGTTTTCTGTCACTATAACCAATTACCACAGACTGGGTAATTTATAAACAATAAAGATTTATTTAGATAATGGTTCTGGAGGCTGGGAAGTCAAAGAGCATAGCACCAGCATCTGGTGAGGGCCTTCTTGCCATGTCATAACAGAGCAGAGGGCATCTCATGGTGAGAAGGCAAGTAGTGTGTAGGTCTGTCTTCCTCTTCTTATAAAGCTACCAGTCCCATCATGGGAGGCCTACCCTGATGACCTTATCTAATCCTAATTATCTCCCAAAGGACTCACTTCCAAATGCCATCAACATATAAATTTGGGTATTAAGTTTCCAATACATGATATTTGGGGACACATTCAAGCCATAGCATAAGTCCTCAAAGACAAGCCTGTTTTTAACCCCCAAGACCCTCCAATATAGAAAATTTAGAGCTCCTTCTGTATCATAATCCTCAGTATCCACTGGCAACTCTTACTCTAATTCCATCTCCTTACTAGAGATGGCCTCACATTGCTATGACTCCCTCCCTAAAACAGTAATTTGAATGGTCACTTCTTATATTAATCTTTAGAAAAGAGGTTTTTAAAAAGTCCACTTAAGGATTAAAATGAATTCAACTCAGACATAGTCTACATAGTTGTTTTTCTTTAATTGAAAAATATTACAGTCAAAAATCCAGATTTCCAGCTACTTCTAAAAAACCTGGAAGGATTTGAGCTACAAGGAACAATAACAGACTGAACATAACTTGGCAATAACAGGCTGAAATTCAATACAGATTTTCCTTTAAACATGCTATGTTTCCTTGGGTGCCCACCATCACCTCTACTGCCCATCACTCTCTGTTGTCTTATAGCCACCCTTTGTGGATATTTACATGCAAGCCCCTACTTAATCCACTATGAGTTGGTTTTACACTTTAACTCATCAGGAACAAACTTACTACATAATTTTTTCAAGTTCTCAGAGATCTATTCATTTCATTATCCATGTTCTCCAGATATAATTTGCCATTCCCTCTACTACTTCATAACCATGGAAGGAAGTTAGTCAGCCAGCCTAGGAGTTTAAGGCAAAAAGAATCCTGGAGTCCAATGTTAAATTATTTAATCTATGAACTAAGGTCAATCAGAAGAGACACCACCAGTTAGTAGCTGAAACTTTTTCCTTTTTTGCAACTTACTATCTAGTTCTCACTCTTCCAGTTCTACCCCATGAACCTAAACCACAAAGTCTTCTATAAGCATTTGTCTACCCCACACCAAGGGCTGGCTACATAATTTGCAGGGCCCAGTACAAAATAAAAATACAAGCTTCCTCATTTAAAAATTAATAAGAATTTCAAGACAGTGACAGCAGAGCATTAAACCAAGTTCAGGGCCCTTCTAGGCATGGGAACTTGTGCAACCACAAGTTCACATGGTTACATGACCACGAAGCTAGCCCTACCCTTCTCTTACTCTTAAACATGCTTTCCTGTTTCCTTTTGTCTGTGTTCTGACCTCCAAGGGTCCCACCCGAGGCTTGGCAATCTAAATCTGATCTCATTTGCTTCTGACTGTTTTACCTTCTTGCAACAAGGACAAGCATTCCTCCCGCAGACACAAAGGCTGGCCTTCCTGACAAGATGTACAGCATAGCATTTACATCTACTGGGGCCTTATGACCCCAGTGCTATTCAATAAAGCAAGAGTCATAAAAAAGAAGGAAGGGCAAGCATTTAAGCCCCAGAATGGAATGTCATTTTGTTAGACTTCCTTCTCTACATGCACAACTTTATCTTGACAATAACAGTGGCTTGAAGTCAAGGAAATTCATTTATCTGTCTTTACAAACTCATGTTTCCATTCTAATTTATTACCCACATGGCTTATAAGCTTATAACAGTATCATTTTTGTTTCTTATTTTTTTATTACTCCCTTCTCTTACCATTCAACCAGTAGACCCAGATGGTCTTATGCAAAGTTTCCCAAAGTACTGTATATACACATGAGAAGGTTTCAGATGGTACAAGAAAGCTTTTTTTATATATAGTTTATTACTTTAAAGTGAATTGGAAACAACATAATAAATCAACCTGTGAGTTCACAGTTATCAAATTTTGAAAATACACTTAAGTAAAATAAAGTAGGTCCATTTAAAGAAAAAATGTTAAGAAAATAACAGCAGGGGGGCAATCAAAGAAGAAAAAATGTCAAGGTGGAACTCAAATAATTCAATGTGTAAAATACTGCTTTATGTTGTAAGGCAAGATAATTGATTTTTAAGATGAAATAGGCATTTGTGCCTTTTTCCTCCAGTGGAGCTAATGTCTCTAAGAAGGGAAGGAGAATGCCACTTTGCATTAAGATTTTAGAGAACATTTTTTAAAGCTTCCACGATCTTTGTCACATGAGATTGGTAAAAATTCACCAACAGGTCAAAAACAGGAAACCAACTAAAGAACCTAATGTTATCACTTTAAGTAATAACCAAGAGTGCTTGATTGACTAAAGATGGATTAATGAGGAGTCCACTCAGAAAACACAGAAAGTGTCCAAACTACACTCAGATAATCTACTACCAATATACAAGGCAGGAACTACAGGGACCTAGATGGGGGAGGGGGATGAGTGCTGGCTCCGCCATGAGTAAATCACGTAACTTTAGGCAACTCATTTACTTTCTCTGTATCTGTGAGTCAGTGATACCAAAATTTTAGAGACTGAAAAATTCAATTGAGCTGCTACATTTTACAGATGATGGAAATCAGGTAAAATGACTTGCTCAAAAGCACAAGAGCCTTCTTGCTAGAGAGCCACAAGATCAGTAACAGAGCGGAAGGCTCTGAAGTCCCCTGCCCACTATTCACACTGCTAACCTGTCTGTCTCTCTCTCTCTTTCTCTCTCTCTCTCTCTCTCTCTCTCTTCCTTTCCTTCCAAAGAAAAGTAATAAATTCAAGAGCAGCTTCCTACTTCTTAAAAATACTTCCTACTTCTTAAAAATACTCTCTCTTCCTTTCCTTCCAAAGAAAAGCAATAAATTCAAGAGCAGCTTCCTACTTCTTAAAAATACTTCCAGAAGCCTTCAGAGCTTAGTTTCCTTAGGATGACTGCTTGAGAGCAACAGATTCCTATCTGTCATAGTTAGAGCCTATCATGTATTTCCAAATAATAAGATACCTGAAAAGATATTTCAATCCTCAAATATTAGCTGGCCTAGAAAAAAATGGACACATTGATTTCTGGCCAGAACAGAGAAGGATAAGAAGTCATGGGATGTGATCAAAAAGCAGACTATCCAGGGGGTATCCCTAGATACCCCCTGGATAATGTCACTGTGATTTACAGTAAGAGCAGAGATGTTCCAAACTAAATGAATATTTGGGAGAAAAGATTTGTCTCTAAAAAATGTTTTTGGAAAGATACTATAGAACTCTTGATCATATTCCCTACTCAAAAATATATTCACATCCATGATAATATGCTGCTAAGCTAGTTTCTATGATGCAGAATCGGCCAAGTGGTAGGGCTAGGGATGGCAACATGGTCAATACAATAAAAAGGCAAAAATGAGAAGAGGAAATTCTTAGGAGAAGTCTGTGGTAGAGAGGAGTGGACAAGATAAGAGATCGGTTGGTAAGAAGGTACAGCAGATGAGGAGAAATAAAAATGCACGGATGATGGTGGAGTATCTTAGAGAAGGGGAATAAAAGCTATAGATGTGAGGGCAGCTGAATAGGGAGGAAACAAGGGAATTTACATGAAATATTGGGGTGAGCTATGTATGTTATTTTAGAAACACAAGTAAAAAAATTTAGTTATTCTAAAAATACTTTATAGCTTAACCCTATGACTGGCTCTTACAGATCACAGCCTCAGTAAGGAAGCAAGAGTCACTTTAGAGAATACTGAAAACACAATGAGATGTGGATACTCATTGCTTAAGAGCTAAGGAACTGACCACTATACAATGCGTTTTCAGAGCAGGAGGCAAATCCATGTCTAAAACAAACTACAAATAGCTTCACATCATGGATTTGGTACTCCTCCCAAACACTCAAAACCCCATTCTGAAAAAAAAAAAAAAAAAAAAGGAAGAAAAAGGAAGAAGGAAGAAAGAAGAAAGAAGAAGGAAGAAAGAAGAAAGAAAAAAGAAAGAAGAAGAAGAAGAAGAAGAAGAAGAAGAAGAAGAAGAAGAAGAAGTAGTAGTAGTAATAGTAGTAGTAGTAGTAATAGGTTGTCAGTTTCTCCTAAGACTAAACGCTACTTACCTTATGACCTGACAATTGTTCTTTTGTGCATTTATCCCAGAGGAAAAAAAACCTATGTCGACACTAAACCTGCACATCAATGTTCATGACAGCATTATTCATAATAACCCAACACTAGAAATATCCCAAATGTCACTCAATAGGTGAATGGTTAAACATACTATGGCACATTCATACAATGGAATACTACACGGAAATGAAAAGGAACAAGCTATTGATACATGAGAAAACTTACATGGATCTCAAGGACATTCTGTTTAGTGGAGGCAAAAGAGTCAATCTCAAAAGTTACATATTGAGTATTAAGTGCATACTATATGATTGCACTTAATAACACCCTCAAAATGACAAAACTATATAGATGGAGAAAAGATTAGTGGATTCCAGGAAGATAGGGGATATGAATACAAATGGAGAGTACAAGGAAGTTCCTTTGTGGTGATGGAACTACACACAACCACACACACACACACACACACACACACACACACACACACACATACACATACACAAATGCATGTAAAAACTGGTAAAACATAGACCAATGGAACAGAAAAGAGAACTCAGAAATAAGACGGCACTTCTACAACCATCTGATCTTTGACAAACCTGACAAAAACAAGCAATGGGGAAAGAATTCCTTATTTAAGGCCGGGCACGGTGGCTCATACCTGTAATCCCAGCACTTTGGGAGGCCAAGGCGGGCAGATCACGAGGTCAGGAGATCGAGATCACCCTGGCTAACACAGTGAAACCCCATCTCTACTAAAAATACAAAAAATTATCTGGGCATGATGGTGGGTGCCTGTAGTCCCAGCTACTTGGGAGGCTGAGGCAGGAGAATGGCGTGAACCCAGGAGGCGGAGCTTGCAGTGAACCGAGATTGTGCCACTGCACTCCAGCCTAGGCTACACAGCAAGACTCCGTCTCAAAAAAAAAAAAAAAAAAAAAATTCCTGGGAGAACTGCTAGCCATATGCAGAAATTTGTAACTGGACACTGGACCCCTTCCTTACACCTTATACAAAAATTACCTCAAGATGGGTTAAAGACTTAAGTATAAATCCCAAAACTATAAAAACCCTAGAAGAAAATCTGGGCAATACCATTCAGGACATAGGCATAGGCAAAGATTTCAAGACAAAATCACCAAAAGCAATTGCAACAAAAAAAAAATTGACAAATGAGATCTAATTAAACTAAATAGCTTCTGCACAGCAAAAGAAACTATCATCAGAGCAAACAGGAAACCTAAAGAATGGGAGAAAATGTTTGCAATCTATCTACCTAACAAAGGTCTAATATCCAGAATATATAGGAACTTAAACAAATTTACAAGAAAAAAAAACCCCATTAAAAAGTGGGCAAGGGACATGAACAGACATTTCTCAAAAGAAGACATTTATGCAGCCAATACACATTTGAAAAAAAGCTCAACATCACTGATCATTAGAGAAATGCAAATCAAAACCACAATGAGATACCATCTCACGCCAGTCAGAATAGTGATTATTAAAAAGTCAAAAAACAACAGATGCTGGTGAGATTGTGGAGAAATAGGAACGCTTTTACACTGTTGGTGGGAATGTAAATTAGTTCAACCATCGTGGAAGATGGTGTGGTGATTCCTCAAATACCTAGAACCTCAAATACCTAGAAATACCATTTGACCCAGCAATCCCATTACTGGGTATATACCCAAAGGAATTTAAATCATTCTATTACAAAGATACATGCATACTTATGTTCATTGCAGCACTATTCACAATAGCAAAGACATGCAATCAACGTAAATGTCCACCAATGATAGACTGGATAAAGAAAATGTGGTACATACACACCATGGAATACTATGCAGCCATTAAAATGAATGAGATAATGTCCTTTGCAGGGACATGGATGAAGCTGGAAGACATTATCTTCAGCAAACTAACACAGGAACAGAAAACCAAACACCGCATGTTCTCACTTATAAGTGGGAGCTGAACAATGAGAACACATGGACACAGGGAGGGGAACAACACACACTGGGGCCTGTCATGGGGTGGGGTCGAGGGAGGGAGAGCATTAGGAAAAAGAGCTAATGCATGCTGGGCTTAATATCTAGGGGATGGGTTGATAGGTGCAGCAAACCATCATGACACACATTTACATATGTAACAAACCTGCATATCCTGCACATGTATCTTGGAACTTAAAATAAAAATAAAAATTAATAATAAAATACTGGTAAAAAGTAAATGTAAATTCTGCAATGTAGTTAACATTATTGCACCAATGCTAATATCTAGTTTTAATCTTTTATTGAAATTATTCAGAACGTTATCACTGGGGGAAGCTTAGTGAAGGGTTCAAGAGACTCTATCTGCCATTTCTGCAACTTCCTGTGAATTTACAATCATTTCAAAATTAAAAAAATGCACTAACATTGTTTTTGGGACTCATAAAATTAAAAACAAGAACAAGGTATGTCTCAAACTACATTTCCAGTCTCACCTGTACAATCCCAAATACCTTAAAATCCAGCCACAGTAGATTCCCCATAACTCCAAGAGTATACCAAGCACTCTCTCAGCTCCATGCCTGTCCTCAGGCTATCACCTCCACCTAGAATCCCCTTCCATTCCACCTTCTTTCTCTGAACTCCATCATATCCCAAGGCCCAGCTAAATGACATCTCTGAGAAGCCTTGCCTGGCCTGAGTTCCCCATCCCACCAAGCAGAGTCCTGTTTCTTCTCCTCCACTGCCATTGTACATAGCAGTGTATCCACTCAGGGAGTAAAACATTTCACCATACTCTAGTTAGTTAACTCAACATCCCCTTTCCTTAATAAACTGTGAGCTCCCTGAATAAAATGAACACATACTCATCTTTACATCTCTAATCTCTTCTACTAAGCCTACCACGTAGATGGTATTCAATAAGTAAATGTAGATTGAATTTACACCTGACTTGTAATGAAAATACTATATTCCAAACTGCAGTCAATACAAAAACCAGTGACTATCATTAACTTCATTAATACTACTTGTAGAACAATACAGGGTACCTGCTCTAGCACCATTCCTCAGCTGGGGATTACTAGGGACTGAAGAGAGATAGCCAGCAATGCCTGGAACATGTCAGGCATATCATATACATTTTACTAATGAGAAAACCAAATCTCAGAGAGCTGAAGATTCCTTAAGATAACACAGGTGCTAAATAGGACATGGTTGAAACTCAAATCTAAATTTCTTACAACTCTGCTCACAGTTTCACACAAATCCTGAACTCCTCACAAACAGCCTTTCAGACTCTAGAAGACGGCCTAACAGATTATTCGGTGGGGAGGCTTAGGGGGACCCAGTAGTCAGGGCTGAACAGGAAGAGACATCTAATTAGCTCCCATGAGGGCCCTGGCCACCTGCTCCTCGAAATCTTTTTTGTACCAGCCTTTGTGTAGCAGAGGTCATGCTAGTTGACTTAGATTAACTTGGAATAATATTTGAAACAGAATGTCTTAACTATATAATTTTGAACTGTTTAAGCTTAATTCCACTCAAATTAGATCATGATACTGGGGCATTAAAAAGGGTTACTGACAAAAATAAAATATATATGAACAAAGCCTCTACTGCCATCAGCTCATATTCAAATCACACTTCATATTCCCTTGTCCCAACTCATCACTAATTTCTTTTTGATATTTTGATACATATCATGTATAATGATCAGATCAGGGTAATTAGCATATCCATCATCTCAAACATTTATCATTTCTTCATGTTGGGAACATCCAACTCATCACTGATTTTTAGTTAAAAAATTAAGTCAGACCATATATAAATTGACTTTTAAATATGTGTCCACCAGTGAAAAACCTGGGTTCTCCCTAGCAACTATGAAACATGTATAAACAAGAGCATTCCAATGCATCCAATATTAAACCCCCTTGGGTGCTGTCCAAGGTATGGGCAGATTGCAGTTGGTACTGTTCAGCTGAATTCCATCCCCAACACCTAACAGAGTTCCTGGCATGGAATTCAGAAAATGTTTTTGCTGATTTACAATCTGTGCTAAAGTGGACAATTAGAAAGCTGCTTTAAATAGTTTTTAAATACTCTTAAGTCTACTACTGCTGTAATCTTATTCATGCGAAGTATGAATAAGTAGCATATGAAACTATTTTTAAACTATTTAAAGTAGTCTTAAAATTGCAAGAGAAAACATAACACCAATATTCAACAGAAAAATGAAAGCTTTGAGTACAATTTTTAGGTCATAGTTTTCTCCACTGCAGCACGTGCAATGGTAGACTGAGGATAGACTCTGACCTATCATCTCACAGGAATCTTGAAACCATAAAATTTGCCAAAAAATTGAAAATCCTCAGATTTTAGAGCAACAAAGCATAACTATGATTTAACTTGTTTCTCTTCCATTAATCCAAACTTCCATAATCCATTTAGAAAAATTAATCCTAAATTTTCAGGGTACGGTGGGAATAACGTAAAATACTCCGGTTTACAAATGGCTTCCCTTCACGGCTTTAACCTACCTCAAACAAATGACTCCACTAGGATGCATGCTAGTTGTCACTGCTACTAATACATTTTCACCATGATGGAACTATATACATGCTTTTTCTTTCTGATGTAGTACTAGATTATGGTTAAAAGCTCAGGGTCAACCCTTCCTTGGTAAGATTATTAGTGGATTAAATGAGCTAATCCATGTAAAGCACAGGGTCCACAGTTGGTTCAGGGTTGGCATTCCATAATAGTAGCTACAACAATGACTATAAGGATGATAAGAAGGATGGTAACAATAGAAAATCCTTAGGTTTTGTTTTTACAACCACTACACCCAAAGAAATGTCTAAGCAGAGAACAAAGCCAGCTCACAAGGCCAAGATTCATCATACCAAGGCTTTGGGATTTCTTCTTGTTTTCTCAACTGCCCTAAAGATTTCAGCCCTGTTTATGTGACAGACCAATCCACTTTGTTTCCCATGGCTGAGACGCAGCTGCCAGGCTGTACCTTTGCAAGTTGAGGTGCAGCATGTGTGAAGGACACCCTAATGTGTTAGAGAACAGGCCAGGAAAGGCATGCCAATGGGACAAAAGCTCAGGATTTTTGCTCTCTTTAATGACCTGGAAAATATCTGTGTATTCATCCCCCACCTCCCACCTCCTGATAAACCAAAGCTGCTGCTCCCTTAATAACTTTACCTCCCAACCCCTCTTAATGCTCAACCATATCTCTGCCAGCTGACAAGAAGAGCTGACAGGCTACAAATGAAATCCTGTTCCAGCCTGTCTACCTGCAGGATGAGAAGGGAGTTAGTGAGGCAAGAAGGAAACAGAAAGCCCTGATAAGGGAAAATCAGCCACGTTTCAAAGGTGGATGAGAAAAGAGTAAATTGTATCTGATGTCCACTCAAAAACATGAACGCAAAAGAGCCTCCCTCTCTGGCAGTTGAGTGAGTTGTCTAGCAGCCTCCTTAACCACAGTTTTGCTTTGTTTTAATCAGAAGAGTGTGAAAAGAGGGAGTGTTTAAGTCAGAAATGGGACAAAGCCTGGAAATGTCACTTCTGACAGCTATTTGTGGACAGAGAAATGAAGTAGGTATATGCCAGTTGTGCTCCCTTGTTTCATCCGATTCTCTCATTGACATATTACACATTTATTGAGTATTCATTGGTGCCATATACCACAGAAACAGACATAAAAGGCTAGGTTTTTTTTTTTTTTATCAAGGGTGGAGTTTTGCTAAACAAAAACAAGGAGGAGGGCATTCCAGGTAAAGGAAACCCAAGGAGGGGGTAGGGGAAACAACAGGCAGAGGCAAGCAGCAAGTACAGGGCACGTTCTGGAATACCGAGACCAAAGCCTTCCACTGCTTGTTCTTCCTTGTGCCAATGACGACATGTATCATGTTCTCACTGTGTGATTTCCTTGCCCTGAAATTATTGCTTACTTGTAATCATTGGTCTCCTTAACTAAGAATGGCTGTCCTGTTGGAGGTACAGAGATCCAGGTGGAAATGTTTGAATTAGGAGTTTTTATTTTAAAAATTATGCATTTTCTCAGAATATTTGGATATTTGCTACTTAGTTTTGGCTGATTTTTGGCAACCTATTATAAATAAAGGGTGTTTGGGGTGTTTTGCTCTGGTTTAGCTTTTAGTGGCTCTACCTATGTCTATATGCTGAAAGGTTCTCTTTTCTTGAGGTCTGAGCAGGTTATGGAGTCTAAGGAAATAATGCAGGAGACGCAAGAGCTGTGCCTGGGCAGAACATATGGGTGGTACCATGACCATGTGTCCCAGGTGTGAATGACGCTCACTTCCTACCAAAACCTGCAGTCTCTACCCACCCCCAGCAATACTTGCTAGCCCCTTTTTATGCCTTACTCCCTAGTACCTAACATTATCAACCTCCACTGCTTTTTACTTACTTATTGTCTATCTCTCTGTTTTACAGAATAAGGGATTTTTCCTATTTTGTCACCACTGCATCCTTAGCACCCACCTAATGCCTGGTATATTGTAAGCATTCAATATGGACTTGTTGAATGCCTACTCAGTGTATGAATTCCATAGGATAGTACCAATTCTAAACACTGTCACACTGTCCATATAAACACCATAGCCCTATTCTTAGATCAGCTGTCATGACTTTAAGGTTTGGTAAATATGGTCAAGCAAGGCATGGAATACATACATGGTAAAGTGGCAGGTAAAGTAGCTTAATACCTGCTATTTGTAAAGATGCTTAAGCACTATCCTTACACAGATAGCACCAAGAAGCATTAACCTACTGAGAGCTTGGATGACTCCCCACTCCCCACCCCTCAAATCTCATGCTGAAATGTAATCACCAATGCTGGAGGTGCGGCCTGGTGGGAGGTGTTTGCGTCATGAGGGTGGATCCCTCATGAGGGAGGCTGGGTACTCTCCTCAAAATAGCAAGTGAATTCTTGTGAGATCTGGTTGTTTAAAAGTGTGTGGTGCCTCTCCCCTACCTCTCTTGCTCTTTCTCTCACTTTGTGACATGCCTGCTCCCGCCTCACCTTCTGCCTTGAGTAAAAGTTCCATGAGGCCTCCCTAGAAGCCAAGCAGATGCAGTGCCATGCTTATACAGCCTGTAGAACTGTAAGCCAATTAAACCTCTTTCTTTATAAATTACCTAGCCTCCAGTATTCCTTTATCACAATGCAAGAATGGCCTAATATACCCACTGACCCATCTGGTTTCTACACACATGAATCTGTTTCAGTCATTAGTCAATTAGATAGAGTATGCAGAGGCCTGCATAAAAACACAGTCTAATAGCTATCACTTTGTCAGGCATTATGATTTGGCCACATGTTTTTATACTTTCTATCTTAACTCTCCAAGTGTCATCTTTAAAAGTAGCAGTCTTTCTGGATATTAGAGTATGCACACGTTTTCCCCAGTTCTGTAACTCTTACCCTTGGAGCTTAAAACACACACATACATACACACACACACACACACACACACACACACACACACAAACTTATATCAAAACACTTTCCCAATGTTCATTTTGTAAATCAACGCATGCCACCCCTACAAGAGGGGGAAAAGAGAAGGTAACAAGAAATATTATTGGTCAATTTAAAGAAGGCTCTTTAATTTTTTTAAAAAATCAGCCAGTAAAAAAGTATCTCAGAGGACAACAGGAGGATTTCTGCTGGAAGCCAGGCTTGCAGAGGCTGATCACATTTGCAGATGCAAAATTCCATTACTTCCCTATCGACCTCAGCAACATTAGTCTCTGGTCAAAGGACCAGAGTGGGAGAGAGTGGGCTATCCTGCTTCTAAATGGGGAAGGAAAGCAGCCAAGCACAAAGAGTTTGAGAAAGAACAACAGTGTCCTAGTGAGAAAGTGTGTTAAGTAGGCCAGTATTGGAACCACATTTTGTCGCACACAAATCCATAATTGTTCTTTTGTATTTTATTTTCTCCTTTCTTTCCCCCTGCTTTTCTTTCCTTGGCCCTATTCACTATTACTGTCATTTCATGTGTGTTTTTTTAAACCATGATATATTTGTTCAATTACCTGCAGACCTACAGCCTCTTCATCAAATTAGCTGATCTCTATTTATAGCTGATAATTCTGTACAGTTCTAATAAAAATTCTTAGTAGTGATAAAACTAAGTCAAATTTTGCAATGCTGTTTTTCATCCAGGGACTGCTGCCACTATCCAATAAATTTGTTTCAATGAGTGTTGTAAATGTACATTTTCTTTTAAAGATAGTACTTTTAAATAAGAAAAACCAGACAGTGGTAACAGCAGATAACACTTCCACAATTTGTTTCACTCCCTACTCCAAAATCACATTACCTTAAAAAATGAACTTTAACAGACAAAATAATAGAATAAATCTAAATGGACTTTGAATAAAGATTCTATCAGGAATGGAATTCATCTGCTTAACAGTGACATTTTTGTTGCTATTAATATATCTCCATATTCATTAATTTTACTAAACATCTTATTTCATTTACTACACTCAATTTATCAATTGCTCTAATGGCCTCTAAGTATGTTAGAAAGCATAATTAAAGAAAAAGTTAAAACAAATAGCATCTTTAAGCCAGGGTCTAACAAAGACCCCAAACCACATTCTGAGCCATGGGCCAAATTCCATATTAGAGCCCAAACTACAACTCATCATGTTCTTTGTTAACAATTAAGGTTTGAATACCCAAACATCAGTGCAATGTCTATCATGAAAGCCTTCCCATGGTACTCATCTCAGAGGTAAGACTATTACTTTTACCTACAGAGAAGTCGTGTCTGAAAATAATGGAATCCTGACTGTGATGCCAAGGCCTGGGTAGTCAGGCCAACCAAGAGATACAAAACTAGCATCCCCTTGCAGCACAGGGTCTGGCAGGCAGAACAAGTCAAGGCAGAAAGTGATCAGATCCATGTGGATCAGCTAGGCAATGAGGAGCATCCATGATTCAAAAGTCTGAGCAGGAAGGCAAACTCTCGCCTAGAAAATTCAAAGATTGGCAAAAGCAACCAGAATGAGAAGGGACAATGATCCCTGTTCATATAATTGAAGCTGGCTGCATTCTGCCCTATTTTATATCAGTTACTAGATATGAGTGTGGAGGGTTCGCGAATATCAGCCAGAGCCAAAAGGAGCTAAGAGCCTTTGTGCATTTATCTCTTGTTGCTAAAATTACTACAAATACCACTGGCTCAAAAAAATTGTCAAATCTGACACTGTTTTAACGGTAAAGTCATTCTTATCTTTCTTCTTATCTTGTCATATTCTATTGATTTAATCAGCACCGCCAGGCAAAATAATAACAAAGTTAAACATTAGTTAATAGTGTTGCCCTTAGTGACTTTGGAAAAGTTACTTAACATCTGTAACCTGTTCCACTGTCTTTAACATGCGGGAGGTAACAATGCTTGTCTCATGAGATCAGAGGATGCAGCAATGCATGGGAGCACTTGGCATTGTCCTCAGATATAGTAAGCAATCAATGCAAGTGAGCTGCTATTGTTAACAGTATTTTAAGTGAGACCATAAGAAAATGACACTTTTTTAGGTCAAAATGGTCTAATATTGGCAATTTCATATGGTTTGATCTAAAATTTTTATCAATCATCATGATCAATTTGTTAATATTATTAATAATATTGTTATTGACAGATTTTTGACACCTTACGGTTCTATTTTAGGATCCCAAATACTCAAATTTCAATTGCAAAATGTAGACAAATAGAAATTACTCCATTGCAAATGGCTATCTGTTTATCCATCTATCTATTTATCTGTCTACCTTTCTAAAAAGATGTGTCAGGAATAAAGAAAGCCAGCATACATCAGGATATAAGGATGTTACACGTGGCTGAGCTGACCACAGATTTTTTTGGCACATAGTTTAACCATTTGAGCCATCATCATATTTATGACACTGTCTGAGGCTCTGGAGCATAAAATGGAATTCCAAATTAAGGAAAGTCAAATTAAAATATGAATATTTAGAAATCCCTAAAGGAAGAATTGCAAAAACACTAAGCTGAAGGAAATAAAATGAGGCCCAAGGCAGGAAAGAGAGTATAAAAATATGAGACTTTAAAAAAGTACATACATATATAAGGCATGAATCTTAGAAGATACAGTTTTAAAAAAAATTAGTCTCATAATACTAAAATAGAACCATCTCCTGCTCGTGTTCTGAAAAACATAAATCTATACATATAGTATGTACAGATGCAAAACTATTAGTTTCCAAAGAGGTTATCAGTGACAGAGCTCTGATTTGTGGCCATGATCCTAGTGATGGAGGTATGGTGATCCATCCGTATTCTCTCATATGGCACCCCTCATGCCCAAGGGCCTGCAACTGTCAGGTGAGGAGCCACGTTAAAAGATCAGACTTAGGCCACGGAATGAGCAAACAGACACGCACAGGATTCCAGCCTATGACCTTTCCCTCATTAGGGAATTCCCTGCCCTAATCATACACTAATGGTGCTAAAACATGTATTCAAAATACCATCACCCTTATGGTTCAGTACTTTAATAAGCACACTTAGTTCAGGCTGCTATAACAAAGTACCATAGGCAGGTAGCTAACACACAACAGAAATTGATTTCTCATAGTTCTAGTGGCTGGAAGTCCAAGATCTGGGGAGCCAATATGGTCAGGTTTCGGTTAGGACTCTTTTCCAGGTTGCAGACTGCCTATTCCTCATTCTATCCTCTCATGGCAGAAAGCAAACTAACTCTCCACCCTCTTCTTTTAAGGAAGGGCACACTAATCCCATTCATGACAGTTCCACACTCCGCATCTAATTTTGTCCCAAGGGTCCCGCCTCCAAATACCGTGACCTTGGGGGTTGGAGTTCAACATGTGAATTTTGGGGATACAAATATTCAATCTATTGCACACTCATACATTTATATCTCTTTTTGAAATTCAGTGAGAACTTTGTCTCGATATGAAATGTACAATAAAAGCAGGAGTCCTTCCCGTCTCTTGATATTATGTCCACAATGATTCAAATAAGCCAATTTACAGAATAAATCAGACCTAGTCATCAATACTGAACAGCATTCTTGTCAAGGGCTCTGGAGTCAAGACTGCCTGAATTTAAATCCTGGCCTTGGTAGCTATAGGATTCTTAAACAAATTACATTATCTTTCTGTGCCTCACTTTCATCATCCATAAATGGGGGATACCAATACGCTTGCTTCATAGGATTCTTGTGAGAATTAAATGAGCTAATATATAAAAAGCATAGCGTATTTGGCATATGGCAAATGTTTAAGAAATGGTAACAATTAGCATTATTATAGTAATTATTTCTGGCCATTTCTATACCAATAATGATAAATATGGAAAATGAAAAATGAAATTTATAAAGAATCATCATATATGAAGATAAATTAAAAGTATAAACATAATCATTTAGGCCGGGCATAGTGGTTCATGCCTGTAATGCCAGCACTTTGGGAGGCCAAAGTGGGCAGATCACTTGAGGTCAGGAATTTGAGACCAGCCTGGCCAACATGGCGAAACCCGATCTCTACTAAAAATACAAAAAAAAAAAAAAAATCATTTATACATTTGCACAATATATTAAGAAACTTAACATTATTTTGTACTAATATATCATATATCAACTATTTTTGAAAATTCTCTCACTACTCTAGTCATCAGTGATCAAGAAGAACATTAAGAAAAATCAAAGAAAGTAAATAAAGAATAGGAAACAACATTAACCAGTTTCCTATAAATAAGAAGTCCCCTGAATTTCATCTCAACAAAAGCTACCCTGGCAACCTTCCAGGAGTCCAGTGCCTGTACAAATTATGCATAATAATTTATGTAAAGCAGGCTTCTTTTTTTTCCTCTTGAGATAACAGAAGATAGTTCTATCTCTTTGTGAGCAGGGACCTTTTATTTTTTACTTTGTCTTCTAAGATTCACTTTTCATATTGCTTTTTTCTTTCATGGTTTTTGTTTATATGTTTTCCCCTTTTGATCTCATTTTATTTTTCTTACAGATGGTCGTTTAACTAGCTCTTCCTTTTAGATATTCTTATTCAACTTTTCTTAATTTCACATCCAATTTTATGCATCAGGGCCTAGGACACTGCCTTGAACATAATAGATACTCCACTATTTGTTAAATAAATGTAACAAAGCACCTGTGGTCAGCCCAGCCATTTGCAACATTCTTACAAATGGATGCATGCTAGTTGTCATTGCTACTAATATATTTTCACCATTTCTATTGACCATATTTCAGAATTGAAATATGCCTTCTAATCTATATCGCTCATGTATACTTACTATCATAATGCTCAACAGAGTTAGGAAAGAAGTTTATCTACAAAAAATAAATATGCAATGTTTTTTAAAAGACACAGACTTTTAAAGAACCTAAAGACAATGACATAATATTAAATAACAAATACACATATCAAAATTTTGGACCCAGAAACACTCTTGTTATACATATTTTTTATTTTAATACATATAAAACATAAAATATCCTTAGGAACTTTTTCTTCAAGGACCGTAATCATGAGAGGTGTCCTATAAGGTACAGTAATAACTAAAGGAGCAAAGATAAGAGAAGACAAGATATCTTGTTTATTCAAATGATGGAGTTCTGGATCATGGGATGATCTCATATTGTCTTTTTAAAAACACTAATTTCTTCATACAAAGAATATTTCATTTGGTGATTTGCCAAGAAGTCCGCTTTTAGAAAAAAAAGCTAAAAGGAAAATATTTCAAAAGAATGACAATTATGTTGGGTAATTTATCCTTAATCTTAAATACTTTATAAATTAATAAATGGTACTACAAAAAAGTACAAAAACTAAACATGTACACACATTATAAATCTTTTTTAATTTTCTTTTTAGGCCTAGAGGGTATATGGTATAGCGTGAATACAGGCTTTGCAACCAGAAGACCTTAGTTCTGATCCCACCTTTGCCTCTTTACTCCTTAGACTATCAAGATAATTAAACGAAATTATATAGATAATATATTTAGTGCAGTGCCTGACACACAGTAAGAACTCAGTGATTAATAATACCATTACTAATTTTTTTTAAAAAAGGAATTAAAAGAAGGCACATTGAATATCTATTTAGTCTTGCTCCCTCCCAAAGTTCTACTAGAAAATAATGGGATTAAAGATAAAGAAGTCCACAAATATAATGGAAAAAAGGAAAAAAATCAGTAAAAACAAAATTCTAGCAGGTGGAAAACAGATAGATATGTCATAACTAGTGGAGAAAGCTGAATCCTACGTCCACTGCAGGACTCTTAGCTGTACCATTTTAAACCAAAATTTACTCCCAAAAAATTGAATTATTTTTTGTGGTTTTATTACATTAAAGCATCCCTGTCTTTAAAACGTCAGCTAAGCAAAAAAGATTTCTTAAGGATTACATATGAAAACTGTAATCCATTGCTTCAAATATTTTGACGACGTTAGAGAAAATGATTCTAATATATTTCAATTTTTTAAACTGCAGAAATTAAAAAATATGACTAGGGTTAGGCAGCATAACCAACAAAACAAAATATGGGGTTACAAAGGCTTTCAGGATAGACTATTAAATCAATTAACCACTAAACTGACAGTCATCAAAGAGCAAATTAGGCTCAACAAGTAAGATTTTTATAATTATATGTTTTATAACATATAAACATATAATTATATGTTTTTTATAATTATATGTTCCAGTTCCCAGCACCAAAACATGTACACACCAAGGGGTGAAAACCTAGAGAGGAATAGGGGAAGGAAAAGATGTGTGCTTTCAAGGGCCATGACCGGTGATTCTCATACAGCACACACCGCTTTGTTCCTGTTGAGAAGTACTAGTCTACAAAATACAGGCTGTCTTCCCAGCTGTAAAATTCAGGGATGCTCTCTATCTTGCACTACAAATGGGGGTATAAACTGGTTCAAACAATTTGGAGAACAATTTAGTAATAGCTAGTAAGGTTTAAGGTATGTATATCTTATTACTCAGAAATTCCACTCTTAAAAATATATCCTTAAAAAAACTCTTGCATATGTACACAAGGAAATATTTACAGAAACATTCATAGGAACATTGGCATATAGGAACAACATATTGCCAAAACATTAAAAACAATGAAATATCCATTAACAGAAAAAGAGATAAACAGATGATGGTATATTCACATAATGGACAGCAGTGAAAATGAGTGAATGCTACATGCATCAACATGAATTAATCTCACAAACAATTTTGAGCTAAACAGAGCTGCCAAGGAATACATACAGTATAATATCATTTACATGAAGTTTAAGACCATACAATACTATAAATATCTATCTTAGCGCAACATGCAAATGTAGTAAAAGTTGTTAAGTAAGAAAGTGAGAAGCAGCATATTTAAACAGCAGAGTTACTACTGGGGCTGAAGACAAAGAAATGAAATCAATAGGGGTAATATGAGGACTAATATACTTAACTTTTTATGCTAGGTACTGTGAATATGGGGTTCTAGCACATTAAATTTTACATCCTTTTGCATGTACTTTTATGTTTTAATTAATCTACAGCAAAATTTTAAATCTGAAATAAAAATTTTGAGATTCTCTAGCTTTGTAGCACTACATGTTGAAAGCATGAAAGCAAATAAACCAAGGATGATTTCATCATCATGTACTTTATCTAAACATAAAGAGTTGATGAATAATAACTCCATGCCATGATGACAATGCAATACTGCATTCTCTCATAAAGCCAATCTCATCCAGCTCTTCATTCCACTATCACTGCTAAGGTTATGCCTCATCATCCTCTCCTCATCTACCACCTCCAACTGGTCTCCTCACCTTTGGTCTCTTCCCACCTCCGATCTGGACTCTACATTGTCCCCACTTACTGGCTTAAAATATGATGTCAAAATAAGGCATGAATGGGAGAACTTAAAAGATCAAAATTCTTGCCAGTGTTCTAGATGTCATAGTCAGTGATAGGTTCATAGGATTTCCTTGCATTATTAGTATATAAATAACAATAAAATGACAAAGGATGTCATGGAGCAAAAAATATGATTAATATAATTCTGTATACCTAAGATCTATTTTTTTAAAAATAACAACAATAATGGTACCAACCTACTTCTCCAGGCTACTCTCCCTTCCCCCATGGATCCATTCCCTCTATCCATGCTAGCAGATAGAGAAGGACAATTAACAAAATAAATACATAAAATATACAGTATGTTACACAGTGAAAACTTATTTTGTTTACTGACTAATTGTCCCCTCTGGAATGTAAGTTCCATGAGGGCAAGAATTTTTTCATTGCTGTAGGATACCCTATAACACCACTTAGAAAACACCTAGAAGACAATCTGACACATAGTAGGTAATTGATAACTATTTGCTGAGAATGAGTGAATGAACAATACATGACAAAATAGTGCTCAATAAATGGAAACTGTTACTGACATTATCATTGTATCTGTAGTGCAGGCTTCATTTGTCCACAGGAAAATGAGTTTTGGAAAGGCGAAAATACCTTGCCTTCAACAATGCTGGAATTAAAACAAAAACTTAGGTCTAGAGTCTAGACCTCCATCAAGTGATTTTTATAACTTGGACTACTCAGTTTCTTATGTTATATTAAATGAGGCTAGGCAATGTCATTCCACACATTTCAGGGTGTCTTACAAAGTGCAATTTTTAAACATTTTTTCCTATAATTTAAAAGAAATTTAGGCCAAGTGAAATCAAGTGACCTGTCTGAAGTTAGATGCATTAAAGCCTAGTTCAGAATTCTTAGACTCAGAATATCATTTTAGGCTCAATGCTTACTGTCTACCATCATTATGGTTTATACCATTCCATGTCCTTTCATCTACTGCTCAACTTTACCACCAAGTTAACCAGCAATATATTAATCACTTTTGACCAAATACCAAATAGTAAATATCAAGGCAAGACTTCTGGCAGCTCACCAAAAGAGGAGACAGGGCAACAGAAGTTAGAACCATGCACAAGTAAAAAAATAAATAAATAAATAAATTTTTTAAAAAGTCAAGCTTGTTTTTGCTTGTCCCAAAACATATCAAAAAGAAATGATAAATGTATGAGGTAATGGATATGCTAAATACCATGGTTTGATTTTCACACAATATATACATGTATCAAAACATCACAGTATACCCCATACATAAGTATAATTATTATGTGTTAATAAAAACTAAATAAATGAATAAAATTAAAAATGACAATAGAAGGAAAGTAGTCTAACAAGACCAATGAAAGTGGGAAACAAGGACAGTGAAAATGACTCTATCAAGTGGAATCAGATTTTTAATAGCACAACTGCTACTTTTTTCTGTGAGCTATCTTACTTTCCAAAGTTTTAAACCCTATCGTCTGGTTATTTTAGCCAATATTTTGATGTACTAGAAGTGCTACTAAGTTGGGTAAAGAACTGAAAGAAATGTAGGGCAGTGAGCTTAAAAACTCAGTTGGACATCAGATCCAAGGCATTCCAGTTTACTAGGACTATGCCACAAATACTAAACAAAGGCTTTCAAACAAATACTGTGTCCCAGCAATCTGAGTAAGGTGCTAATTTCATAGAAACCATGTCCGACACTATTCTTTTTGTTAAGTTTACGCTGGTTTCAACTTCACCACTAACCTTTCTCAAGCTGTAGTTTGGTCTGTGCTTCATAACCTTTCTTTTGTGTTCGATACTGCTCTTGAAGATCTTCAAACTTCTCAACAAAGCCATTGTGCTTAGCTCACTTTGATATCTTTTCAGCATCTGGTAATATTAAACTTCTTCAAATTCCTTTCTTTTTGAGCTTCCCTGACTAGTACTTTTTGGGTTTTCCCATGCTATGATTTTATTTTTCTTTAAATACTCCTTTTCCTTCCATCTGTTAACTGTGATTATTCTACAAAACACAGTCCCTGATGAATAGACTGTATTCCATGGTTTTAACCAACAGCTCCACATAGCTGACTCTTAAATCTCTGGTTCCAATCCCTGTCTCTATTATCCATTCCAGGCTATCATCAAAAGAGAATACTTATCTGGCCAATTGTCACCTCAATCTAAATATGCCCAAAGCTGAACTTGCCTCCTTCAAACCATCCCTTCAATCAAACCAATTCCCTTTCTCAACTTCTCTGTCTTCTATCAATGGCACCACAGCTCTCTCAGCAACTAAAGCATAGATCTTCAGTCACCTTTGCCCATTCTGTCTCCTTCAGTCCATTAAGGCACTGAAATCTTTACTTAGGCACCCAAAATTAGGACATGACCTGCAAAAATAAGAAAACAGAAAAATGCCAACACAATAGAAAAGCAATTAAAGAAAAATAGTTTGAAGATTAAAATATTGGGATTTCCCACGTTGCTAGAATTTGAAAACAGAATATCTGAAGTAGGCGCCGTGTAAAAATTCAGATGTTGGTAATCATATACATCCAATTATCTTTAGCCATTTTTGCCTTTACAGACATCCCTTCCTCTCTACTCACCAATACCACTGCTCTAGTTCACACTTTCATTACCTCACATCTCAACAAATCTTGCCTCTCTTCCAGTCCATTTTGTCCTTCCGCCTCTGACATCAATCATGCTAAAGCATATCATTTATTATGTCATTCACTTAGCCAAAAACCTTCAGGGATTCCTCAAACTACTTGGTCTGACATATAATCTTATATTCCACTCCTGGTTTTGGAAAGCCCTCCCACTTCAGATACATCCTCACACTTTACAAACTGAAAGCACCCGTGCAAGTATGAGATCAAGAAGACCACTGGTAGATCCAAACTTATCTACAGCTTCCTTTTTGTTCTCTTTCTCTCCACATGTTTTCCTCCTTGTAACTTTTCTTCTTTTCTACCACTTTCTTATACTCATTGTCTTTTCCACATTCTTCTTTATGCCAATGTTACCAGCAAGAATTTATAATCACTAGTAACGCCAAGAACTAAAGAGATTATTGATCACTATTCTAATCAATAATTACCAACAAAAAAGACTCAGACATAACAGAATGGAAAGTAGAAGGAAGGAGACGTTGGTTGTAGAATAACCATTGTCCAAGGTTCTCAGTGCAATTCTAAAATAAGGTTAGAAGTGAGGCCAAACAAGTTCTCAAATCTTATGATGGGGGCCTCACTGAGTGGTGAAGATGCCTTGCTGTCCATTTATTCAGGAATATAGAAGTAGCATAAACATAACTTCTTCCAGTTATAGTTTTCTAGATTTTTTCCCCTATATTTCATCAGAAGCTACACAGGGCCTTGGGTTTTCCTCCACTGAAGATACATATCTACAGAAAAGAACTCTGTTGGCTAATGTCTTCAATATAAAATTAAGGAACCTGGGAAATTTTTCAACATCAAACTAAGGCTATCTTGTCTTTATACAGGCTGTGCTTAGCTGGGTTAAAAAAAAAAAAAACAGACTCTGTCTTTCTTAAATCTCACATTTTAACTGCATTTCCTTAGGCCATATTTGCATCTTCAAAGGAAAATAAATGTTCTTTCCCATTTCGTAAAATGTTGTTTTTCACAGAAAAGAAACAAACCAACAATTCTCACTATACTCACAAATATTTAAAGCTTTAACCTGAGATCTATGGGTTTCACACACACACACACACACACACACACACACAAATGAAACTGCTCTTGATTGCAAATGTACACACACATAGACACAATCCACTCCTTTCTCCATTGTCCCCAATACTTTTTACTCTTAAGGAGGAGAGAAGAATCAGTTTAATTGAAATCTAGATATTTTAAAACTTCTCCCTTCCTTTGTCTCTTCTCTCAATGAAGGAAAAATTAAGAGATCTATGGAAAAGGGAAGCTCATTTGTATGCTGATGGTATATTTGTGCAAGAATGCAAAAAATAGAAAAGGAGTATAAGGTGACTTTCAGGTAAATCAACTGTGTTTCCATTTAGATTCCTCTTCCTTTCAGTTTCTGGCATCTAACTTAAACATACCAATCCTTCCTAGGGAAAAAGAACTCAAAACATTTATAACCTTTCACTGTTCAGTACCAGTCCAGAGAACTGGATGTGTGCCCTTATTCAGAGCCCTGCCCTAAGCAAAATGTAAAATGTTTGGTTTATGTTGGCAAAAATCTATTTTCTCTTTATGTTCTTCACCCTTCCCCTTCTCTTTGATTATATGTCGCAGAAATCTGGCACTCTGCACAGTCCTTGGGAATAATTTCTAATGGTAGAATGATAGATACTATATTATGATGGAATAAGGAGTTATTTCTTGAAATAATGTTTATTAAGCACCATTATAGACAATTTGAACCTTCCTTGAAATGCTAATCATTGTTCCTGGAGAAAAAAATTCTGTAATCAAAAGTTTTTTAACACTGGATGAAGCAGGCTCCTCAGCACCTTTAATATGCTAATAAGTACCACCACCCTCCCCCTCCCCTGTACCTGCTCCCTAAAAAGCAGCCCTGACATACAGGAATTCCCAAACTTACTTGACCAGCACTACTTTCAATGAACATCTATTTAGTACTCCACAAAATAATCTGAGAACAGTTGTGCTTGGAGAATTCAGAGCAGGTAGACAGCATTTATGCTGGAGTGGAAGAATTAAATATAGCCTCGTAAAAGAGTATTTGAGCCAGGTACTGAAGGATAGGTAAAATTTAACTGTGCAGAAATAAGAAGAAAGGCAAAAAGGATGCCAAATGTGTCTCAAGTCCCTCACTTTTTTCTCTCTCTCTCTCTTTTTTAATTTCAATAGTTTTTGGGGAACAGGTGGTATTTCATTATATAGATAAGTTCCTTAGTGGTGATTTCTGAGATTCTGGTGCACCCATTGTGGTGCAACTGAGCAGTGTACACTGCACCCAATGTGTAGTCTTTTATCCCTCACCCTCCTTCTACCCTACCCCCTGAATCCCGAAAGTCCATTGTATCATTCTTATGCCTTTGCATCCTCATAGCTTAGCTCCCATTTATAAGTGAGAGCATACGATGTTTGGTTCTCCATTCCTGAGTTACTTCACTTAGAATAATGGTCTCCAACTCCATCCAAGTTGCTGTGAATGCCATTATTTCATTCCTTTTCATGGCTGAGTAGTATTCCATGGTATGTGTTTATATACCATTATGTGGTGTATATATATGGTATATACATATATATATACACATATATACATATATACACGTATACATACACATATATATACACATATACGTATGGTATATACCATATATATGGTATATACCGTGTGTGTATATATACATATATATACACATACATACATATGTGTGTGTATATATATACACATACATACATATGTGTGTGTATATATATACACATACATACATATGTGTGTGTGTATATATACACATACATACATATGTGTGTGTATATATATACACATACATATATGTGTGTGTGTGTGTGTGTGTATATACACCACATCATCTTCATCCACTCGTTGATAGATAGGCATTTGGGCTGGTTCCATATTTTTGCAATTGTGAATTGTGCTGCCATAAACATGCATGTGCGAGTGTCTTTTTCATATAACGACAAGTCCGTCACTTTGAATCATCCACCTATTTCACTTATGCTGAAGCTAGTTCACTCTGGCCTATGCTCCAGATTTAACCTGATCCGGGGCAGTATCTACTGTTCAGATCCCATCAGGACCCAGCTGTCCAGATAGGCATGAAGACATAGCTCTGTAGATGAGGGGAAGGCAATGAAATGAGATGTTAGGTGGGAAAAGAAAGGCAGTTTCTAGGCCATAAAAGGTTGTAAGCCCCTTCCAAATATTTTCTTAACTCAACATTCTTTTGATCTAAGCAAGTTAATATATCCCGTCAGTTGCAGTTTTTAAAAGATAAAACGCCTAATAGTAAAAGATCTTTACTTTTCTATGTCTCTATAAACAAAATTTACCAAATATGTAGACTATACCATTGGTGCATTTTACTTGTTTCAGATGTAGTGATCTGTACTGTCAAGTTGTCAAAACTTATTTTCTAGAATAAAGTAGATGTAAAACGTATGCAGAATGTTCCATTGAATCAAATGTACCAACTTCACTTCTGAATCTCTGAGGCAAGGGTTATCAGAGAGTAATATTTTTGAATTCAGAAATAAAAACTTTGGCTTAAATGCATGCATGAAACCAAATCAATGGGCTAAACTTTGTTATAGAAGTATGAGAGGATTATTTATTAGTGTTCACAGAACATCGCTAATTTTTTTAAATTTTATCTGGTTATAGAAGTAATGCAGGCCAGGCACAATGGCCCACACCTGTAATCCCAGCACTTTGGGTGGCTGAGGCAGGTGGATCATCTGAGTTCAGGAGTTTGAGACCAACCTGGCCAAAATGGTGAAACCCTGTCTCTACTAAAAATACAAAACTTAGCTGGGCATGGTGGCACGCACCTGTAGTCCCAGCTACTCAGGAGGCTGAGGAACAAGAATCACTTCAACCCAGGAGGAAGAGGTTGCAGTGAGCCAAGACTGTGCCACTGCACTCCGGCCTGGATGACAGAGTGAGGCTCTGTCTCAAAAAAAATAAAATAAAATAAAGTAATGCATATTTTTTTAAACTTGAAAATGTAAAAGAACCAAAGAAAAAAAATTAAAACTTAACTAGAGATAGCTGTTATTTAAATAATTTCTTTAATATTAAAAGCTAATTGCCTCTCCATAATTTGGGGGATGTAAAATTGAATTTTCTAATTGTAATAAAATAGAAATAACATAAAATTTGCCATCTTAACCATTTCTAAGTGTTCAGTGGCTTTAAGTACATGAAATAAATATTTGACATCCAGAAAACAGGGTTTTCTCTAGCCAGTTCAAAAAAATAATACCTGCTAGACAACAACAAAAAAGTACCAAAGAGGACAAAAGGAATATCCCTGTAGAATATTTAAGTAACATATTAACAAGAAATTCTGTTCTGGAAGGACAAGTGCTATATACATAATAGACATTATAAACATCACCTACTTTATTATAAGGTTGGCAAGGACTTTCTCACATTCAGGCTTCTTCACTTTCCTGCTAAATGCAGCCATGTACTAGCGGTGTAGAACCCTAATTTAGCATGTGCTACCTGTAATCACGGTGTTAGAAATCCTGGCCAGCTGCCCCCCTCCCTGATGTCACACACTAAACACTTCCTCTAAGGCTACTTGCCAAGCAATCCCACCTTTCCAGGGAAAGGGAGAACACCCTGTCTTTGCATACTCTCTTGGTTAAAGCCTTGCAGACTCTCATAGACTGAATGCAAGGCTCCAAAAAAAAATGCTCCTATTAAACGTTTTCTATTAAAATCAAGCAGTGTGTAACTACACAGCCAGAGACCTTTCTAGGATCAGTCATTTCAAAACAGCAAGCACAAAGAAGACTATTTCTGAAATCACACCCGCAATTTCAGCCTCCTATGAAAAGTACCTAGACGTTCTCAGCCCAGAATGCAATGCTTCTGAGTCCTCCTGGTATAAAGCAGCAATACTGCCAATTTCATTTTATGAAGAAAGAAAAAGGAACAATGGTTTAAATCCCTTGTCTAAAGTTACTTGGAAATCACAGTGACAACTTAGGAAAGGAACAGTTAGGAAGGATCAAATTCTCTTTGACCCAATTAATGCACAATTATATTTAAGAAAGAAAAGAGGAAGGTGGGAAAAGGGGAGAAAGAACCGTTCTTGGCAGCAGATTACCACCAAAGGGCCAAAGCCTCACATACACTTGGATAAGTATCCAGTGCAGAGGCCCAAAGACATGAACATCTTTAGGCAGCTAAAGAGCATGGAAGGCGCTAACATCGTGAGCTGAGAAAAAAGCACCCTCATCAAAATCTGAAGCAGAAGCCAGCTCTAGAGAATAGCAATGCCATAGTCCAGAGGAACCTGCTTTGGGATTGAAGTAATAAAATGATGCCCACTCAGTGCCACACCAAGTGCCTGGCAAGCCCTGGGTGTTCACCAAGTCTTGCTTCTCCCTTTGCCCATTTGCACACAAGCCTGTTGCAACGTTTTTACAGCTGCCCACAGGCTTTATAGGTGGTCTACTATTTTTTGACTGAAGAATTATCATTTGCTATGATCCTATTAAGTGGAAGGGAAGGCACTGAGTCTACTCTGAGGACTCTGGGGCTTAGAGAGCTTAAGTTACTTTCCTGAGGTTCTCTAGGTAGAACGTCACAGAGCCAAGATTCAGAACCATATCTATCTAGCTCTCAAGCCCATACCTTTTCCACACTTCCACTGTGCTAACCTCACAGAGAGCACAATTAAGAATATTCAATTTAAGCTCATAGAGAGACTGATCTCATTAATATATTAAAACAGGAGTTGGGAAACTTTTTCTGTAAAGAGCCAGATAGAGAATATTTTAGGCTTTTTGAGTCACATAGGTTTTCTGTTGAATATTCATTTTTGTTTTCTCTTACTCTCTAAAAACATAAAAACCATTCTTAGCTCATGAGGCTATACAAAAACTGGCCACAGGCCATAGTTTGTCAAGCCCTATGTTAGAAAACACAATCCAAGCAAGGCTCAATGATTCTGATGGATGAGGACTGTAGTGCTGATTACTCACAGACATCTTGATTCACTACAGTGTCTTTCATTTCAAGACGGGGAGAAAAGAGGGGGATAGAAGAGAATCAGTATTCAGTCTAGTCACTTCATATACATTCCATTCTTAAAGTGGCCCCGTACTTAGACCCCTTCATTAGAGTAGTCTGACAAGCTATCAGGCATTTATTTCATTTGTTTCCACTATTTCCATGCCTTTGCATATTCCAGCTTAGGCATTAATCTGTCACTGAAAATCAAATGCTTTCTTCAGTGTAATTAGAATTGACTGCTTCACAGGGCCATAACATAATGAATAGAAACTGAGGGAGATTTAAGCTGACCATGGGCTCTTTCAGTATGATCAAAGGCCTCTGGGGCTCTATTATTTGAAATTACAGAAAATATTTTCCGTTCATTTTATGACACTTGTAAAACAGGCTTTTGAATATCCCTGAAATCTGCAACCACCATCAAGTCAACCTAACAGATGTTGCAAACTGGATCCAGGTCATCAACATGAGAGAGCATAATGAGGAGCATTTTAAACGACATTCAGATTTTGCTATGCAAGGCAAAATAATATACAATTTATGACCTCCTTAATTTTCTTTTTAGATACTGAACTCTCATCCAGGATTTGCTGGCAGGTCATCCGTAAGCAAATGCTAGTAGCTATGTGCCCTGTCAGTTGGCTGGCTGACCTCTGTATTGCCTTGGTCTGGGCAATACAACTTTGGTGCCAAGTCCAAATGTTTCTGGTTAAAATATTTTCAACTCTGCTGATTCATGCCCAGCTGCTTGGTAACTACAGAGTGGAAAAAGAAGGTGGCCACCAGGGACCAATTTAATATCAACAAATGTTATTCCCATTGCTGAGCTAAACCAGTTGGAAACCAGAAGACTCCAGATTCCAAAGGATGGTAACTTATTTCATAAGGCTACATGTGGAACCACATTGCCCATCTTAGGGGCAAATACATACAGGCTGATTTTAATCACAGGAACAGCTAGCAAATTGAAACAGGAGTGAGAGCAATAAAAGCAGCTCCCTTCTTGGATTTGTATAATCACCTCTTGAGGGACAGGACAGTCAGGATGAAGACCTGGCCCAAGACCTACTAACACACATTAAGCAGAGACTGGGAGAAAAGTGACCAACTGCAAAAGCCAATTATAGAGGTGCAGTCAAGCAAGGAAATGCTTTCCTGTATATGAAGGGCATAGTAATATCAGTCATGATGCAAGACACCAAGCAGGGATGGCAGATAAAGGAAAGGAATTAAGATGTGAATTCCTCCTAAGGGCTCAGAAGCACGCTAGATATTTTACATACAGTATATCATATAACCATTACAAACTTGTAAGATAAGAAACAGTACCCTCTTTTTACCTCTGAAGAACTGAGGATTGGAGAGAAACATACCTAAGATTAGAAGTAAGATGTGCCAGGCCTAGCATTACAGCTAGGTCTGTCAGGGATCAAATTTGCCTTTTTCATTCCACCAGGCTTCATGCCCCTCAAAAAAGTACCAAAACACAGGATGGAGTAAATAACATTCAGAAGTCAGATAAGCAGGTGGCATTGGTAAGCAGCAGGGCTCTAAGCTCAAGCCAGGACTCTACTGTCCCACTGGAGAGATGGTAAGAGCAAGCAAGGACACAAGTGCTATATCTAGTAATGATGTCATACTTGGTACCAATAACCTTCACAAAGTCAGCTCCCAAGGCCCACTGCTATCAAAGTGAAGCTAGAAGTCAGGGCACAAAGTAGAGAGTGGGGAGAGCTGAGGCTCCGTGGGCACCATGAGAGTCCAGGAGGTCATCTGTCTGGAAATATACTCTGAACTCCCACAACGGAGGGGTTGAAGCTATTTAAATACCATTTGGAGCCAGACATTGTCTTGGCTCCAAATTGGCCTGAAAACTAAAGTTGAGCCTTCAGTTAAGAAACTCCATGTAGGGAGGAAGAGGGAGGTAAAGGCAGGACTTATGAGGTAGGGATGGGAATTTTTTTTACTTCAGAGCCATGCCAAATATAATCAATTTCCTTGGCATTTCTTCATCTATAAAATTGCCATCATGGCACTGTTAATGGCCTTCACTTCAGGCCAATCAAAGGAAGAGGAAATCAGGATAATAATCTAAGCAATTCAAGAAAAAAAAATATATTTTGCCAGAATTAGATCAGAACTTTACATTTCCAAACAGCAGCCTCATGCTGGCAGAGCTGGACCTCGGGAGCAGATTCTGGGACGCTTGCTGGTGCCAGGCACAGTGACATTAGCACCTGGCAGCCCTTCCCTGCCTGGCAGTGCACGCACCCTTCTGTGGCAACTGCCAGCACTTCTCTACTCAAGTCATCTAATCAGTTCCCAGATCATATGGGGGTAGGGGAAGAAAGCTGGCATCAGAGCAATGAGGAGAGGGACAGGTGACCAGGAAGGTAGAATGCCCCACAGTGACCCTCCTCTCCTCTTCAGAAAGGGGCTGCTCTACAAAGATGGGAGGAGGGAAGAGATCACATAATTCAACCCCTGATTCACTAGGCTGTGAAGAGAGATCCAGCTGAGTGCACTAGACTAACTGATTAATCAGTTCCCTTCTCTGCTCTGTGAGGGAAGCCACTGTCTCGAGGCACATAATTACATGCTGAGTGTCCTCAGGTGCCTGAAGGTGACAGCCAGGCTGGGCAGAGCTTTGAGTCTGGCTCTTTGGGGCTGGCTGCTTCTCCTCCCAGGTCAAGTGATGCCACTGCTCCCAGTCTGAAAATGAGCCAGCTGGGGTCAAAGAGCAGGGTTGGAAAGGGAGGCCCCCCAGCTATAGGCCAGGGCTCCTCAGGCTGCCACTATCAGGACTCTACCATGTTACCTGCACTGCAGCTCTTATGAAGCCCAGCTTCCCTCACCCACCACACACACACACACACACACACACACACACACACACACAGGAAAATCCTGGCACTGCAGCTCTTATGAAGCCCAGCTTCCCTCACCCACCACACATGCACGCACACACACACACACACACACACACACACACAGAGGAAAATCCTGGCAAAGGGCAGTTGGAACAACCAGATTCTTCCCTCTTAGCCTCAGTTAGCTCAAAGGGGAAAACAGAGTTGATTAAGCAGAAAATCTTAGAAAATCTAAATTACTACACCAACAAGGCACTGCTGCCAATTCAGTGTAGATAAATCAGCTTTCTCAGTAAGATAAACAGGCAATGTGAAAAAGATCAATTGTTTCAGATACAAAAGATTAACTAAAAGAGATTTTCCAATAGAAGAGTTAAAAATAAATCCAAAGAAGTTTTCTGATCAGACAGTAGTCAATCCTCGTCATAACACTCTCCCAGAAAACAGATCACATGATTGATATTATCATCTCATAGTCTTTATAAACAAAAAAAATTCTTTAGACATTAATTTCTAAAACTCCCTTAATTCTAAACCAAATGTCTACTACCCTTATTCTCAGTAGAAACAAAGTCAAGTCATCATTCACAAAAAAAAAAAAAAGTGCCCAAGCAGGAATTCTTTTACCTCAATCTATTATTCTCCAAAATAAAAGCAATCCCAATTCATAAATGTTTCCTCAACTCTTTCACTATTTTCATTTTTTTTCCTGAAACTCCCTCCAAACTAACCATGAGCTCAGGACTGATCATTTATTGGACAATGCAGCTGCTGACAGCTTTCACTAAGTGATAGTGGCTTTTCTTCCAGGTGCGTTATCCACATCAGATACCAGTTAATGTTCTGTTTTTGTCTGTCTTTATTCCAAATAGTGGTCCCAATATAAAACAAAGAAGAATATGGAAGAAAGAAAAGCAATTGGCATTGGAAACTCAATAAATGTCTAAGTTAATTTGTAGGGCGCCTGAAAAATAATCCACTTGAAATTTAAATCAAAATGTAGCAAGGTAGGAAATGGTGCATGGCTATACAATATAAACTACCAAAATTATAAAAATCTGTCAATAATTGCATATGACATTGATGATTAATAACTTGTCAGCAATATAGCTTGCAGAATTGTTATGGGAGGAACTGATTCATTGAAGGTGGGTGCCTACTTGTTTAAATGCCCATATGCTACCAAAGTTAAGTAAAAAAATGTTCATCCAGAGTGATTTTCCTAAAATCATCACCAAATGTTTTAATCTCAAACCAAATCAGGGGAAATTGCTTTTCTTTACATAATCCTACATGTCCTAGACCAGTGGCTCTCAACTTTGGCTGCACACTGGAATCACCAGAGGAGTTTTAAAAACTTGATGCCTCGGCCCCATCTTCAGAGATTCTGATGTAACTGGTCTAGACGTGGCCTGGATATTAGGATTTCTTTTTCTTTCTTTCTCTTTCTTTCCTTTCTCTCTTTTCTTTCTTTCTTTCTTTCCCTCTCTTTCTTTCCTTCTCTTTCTTTCTCTCTCTCTTTCTTTCTTCCTTCCTCCCTTTCCTTCCTTTCCTTCCCTCCCTTCCTTCTTTCCTTCTTTCTTTCTTTTCTTTTTCTTTCTCTTTGCTCTCTTTCTGTCCTCTCTCCCCTCCTCTCTCTCTCTCTTTCTTTCTTTCTTTCTTTCTTTTTCAGAGACCAAGAGGTCTTACTATGTTGCTCAGGCTACATTCGAATTCTGAGCTCAGGCAATCCTCCCCGCTCAGCCTCTCAAGAAGCTGGGTCTACAGCCCGCCACTGTGCCAAGATGTTACTTCGATTTTTAAAAGCTGTCCGGGTGATTCTAACATGCAGCTAAGGTGGGGATTCATTGCCTTAGACAATATTATGACATATCAATAAAAGTATGTATTGCAAGCTTACTGTGTACCAACAATTGTGAATAGTTGAATAAACAGAAAAGTGTAGCACAGACTCTGCCCTCCAGACCCTAGATCTAAGGGGAAGAAAGACATGTAATAGAACAGTTATTACATGTCTGAGATGTACAGAGCAATGAAGGGTGCTCTGCAGGGGGGCATCTTTACACAACCTGGCAGAGAAAGTCAGGGATGGCTTCCCAAGCACTATGATCAGGCTGGGTCTTGTAAGCTAAGTATGAGTCAACCAGGAGAAGGAAGTGGGGAAAGGCATTTCAAGAAGAAGGTTTAGAATGTGCAAAGGTCCAGAGGCTAGAGAGCACAGCCCCTACCTTGGATCTCTGAAAGTTGTTCTACAGATAAGGCAGACAGTGGATATAAACACAAGAAAGAAATAAGGCTGGAGTAGTTTTCCAGGGTACCTAGAGGGCTCAGACTAGTAATGCAAATGGGCCAAGCAGGCTGAGTGTGAGACATCAGTTGGTATGGCAAACTGTCAAACCGAGGATGTCACAGGGGGCAGGGGGTGGTTCTTGTTGTTGCTTTTTTCCAGCCATGGCAAGAATATGGGCTCAATATTGACATATTTTGCAGATTTTCAAGAGATGCTGAGAATCTGGTCCTTATGTGAAACTTACAGGTTTTTAAATGCTGAGCAGAACAAATAAGTCTGCAGGCCAGATTCTGCCTATGGGCTACAGGTATGGGCTACACCTTTAACTACTGACAGATTTAAAGGTGGGGGAGGTAGAATCCAATTTAGATTCAAGTTCATTTTTATTTTATTTTATTTTTGAGGTGGAGTCTCACTCTGTCGCCCAGGCTGGAGTGCAACGGCATGATCTCGGCTCACTGCAACCTCCGTCTCCTGGGTTCAAGCGAATCTGCTGCCTCAGCCTCCCGAGTAGCTGGGATTACAGGCACCTGCCACCACACCTGACTAATTTTTGTATTTTTAGCAGAGACAGGATATCACCATATTGACCAAGCTGGTCTTGAACTCCTGACCTCAAGTGATCCACCTGCCTCGGCTTCCCAAAGTCCTGGGATTACAGGCATGAGCCACTGCACCCGGCCTCAAGTACATTTTTAAATGTAAAGTTGAACAGCAGTGTGGCAGACAGCAGTGTAATAAGCATAATAGTACAAAGTTTTCCCCAGTAATCCTAGTGGAGGTACCACTGTTCTGAAGTTCGTCCCCTACTTTTTCACTTCTCAAATTTAATACAGGAATTATTACTTTCAATAATAGAAGAAAAAAACAATTTGGCAAATATTAAGATGCAGATAAAAAGCACACTTATTAGACTTCAAAGTGATATAAATTACACTCAGTACTGAATTACATACGCCAGTGGAATACAGAGGTAGTAATAAAAAATCACAGATGATCTGCCTAGCTGGGCTAGGGCTCTAGGCCCTGAGCAGCAATCCTCTGTAGGCTGGGAACATAGCCAGCTTCCCAAGCAGGGCAGCCTGACAGCAGGAGGTGGAGAACCCAGATGCCAGGAGAAGGTCACACTGTCTCCAGAGAGTATTTCCCTTCCTCCATTTGAGTCCCACCTCAAACTCCTCCCCAAGGTCAATTTCCCAAACGTGAGGAAGGAGGCAGATCCCTTACATGTGATGATCAGTCATCAGTACTATAGGGGCTAACCACAAATGTGCATCCTCCACACACTCTAAGAAACTGGGATCCATTTAAAGTCACAAGGCAAAGCTAGAGTGTACATTAGCCCCCATGTATGGCAATTAGAGCACAGAAAGAAAGGTATTTATTTGTGTAAATTTGGCAAAACATTTCACAAACATAGTTATCTATAAACAAAATTAGGAAATTATAACATTTGAGTGACCTAATAGATTTGTTTAGGGAAAAATAAAATTCTAAATAAGAAAATGAGCAATGGTAAGGAATACATCACAGACACATGGCTACAACTAATTCTCAAACAAAATAAATGGGCAGAGGTACTGTCCAAAGAAAGACTATTTATTCAGTAAAGAACTAATGCTTGATTTTTTTCTTCAGGTTTTCTCAAAAAGAGAAAACATATAATTACCATGTCTGGTAAAAGGCCTGTAGCCTCTGCATGTCATTTCTAATTTTAGATATGGAAATGGGATTCTCTGAGGCATTCTGACTTTCAAAGATGGGTTACTGAACTTTGAAATATTAAATCTCTGGAAGCTTAAACAATAACATTCATAATTCAACAAAAACAATGATCCTTTCTTTGACAGGGAGGAGGTTTTTTAAAAGTTAAATTATAGTTAACAATCTCAGCCGGGCATGGTGGCTCACGCCTGTAATCCCAGCACTTTGAGAGGCTGAGGTGGGCGGATCACGAGATCAGGAGATCGAGACCATCCTGGCTAACACGGTGAAACCCCGTCTCTACTAAAAATAGAAAAAAAAAAAAGAAAAAAAATTAGCTGGGCGTGGTGGCGGGCGCCTGTAGTCCCAGATACTCAGGAGGCTGAGGCAGGAGAATGGTGTGAATCTGGGAGGCGCAGCTTGCAGTGAGCGGAGATTGCGCCACTGTACTCCATCCTGGGCGACAGAGCGAGACTCCGTCTCAAAAAATGAATAAATAAATAAATAAATTACATTTAATAATCTCTATGCTAAGTGTCTCTCAGTCTCAGTTTTTAAAGATTAAATACTACGTAAACTCAAAAAAGATGTCTAAACACAGGAGGAAAAATACCTTTGAATGTGAAGGCTCAAAGCTTAACTTGAAAAACTGCTCTCTATCCATCAACTGTCATGCATAATTAAATAGCTAAATAAAGAAATAACAGCAGTAAAAATTATTAGAAGAGATTGTTTATTAGCAAAAAATAAATAAACAAAGTCATCTAAGTGGAGCCATAAGGCATGTCTACATATATTAGTATGAACACTTTTCATTGTTTTATCTAAACTTGTCTGACATACCATTTTAATTTTTTCTTGATTCAGAAATTATTTGTGCAAAAATTACCAGTGATCTCTCTAAAATATGACATTTCTAAGTGGAGCCATAAGGCATGTCTACATATATTAGTATGAACACTTTTCATTGTTTTATCTAAACTTGTCTGACATACCATTTTAATTTTTTCTTGATTCAGAAATTATTTGTGCAAAAATTACCAGTGATCTCTCTAAAATATGACATTTCTTAATTTCTGAGGTTATTATTCAGAGAAAATAATTTTGATTAAGCAAATCATCAGATGCTGGAATAAGGATGGTCCTGTCAAAGAGAGAAGATTAGACTAATGACACCACATAGAAAAGAAGGAAAGTGAATGGTATGAGCATATGACTGCCTACTTTCGGGGGAGGGGAGAACATCTCTTTCTACTGCTCCTGGTTTATCTTTTGAGTTAGCACCCTAAATGTCCCTTATGCATATTTTACACTGAGATGGTGAGTTAACCTTAGGATTCGCCTTAATGCTGCAGCCAGACCAGCTGGCCAGCACTGTTTCTTCCATTTTCACCTCTTTGAGCTTTCTGGAGTATCCAGGTATCTTGAAGTTAATCCATGAAGGGAATTTCGCCAATCTCTATCTTAATAGAGTCCATGGTCTATCTCCCAAGACTCTGTACAGCCACACCAGTGACATGAGTAGTGAGATTTTTAATTCAAAAAAATATTTAATTGTGCCTGGTTTTTTCACCAAAACACTGTATTTGCCTCTTTAAAAAAAGTACCTTTTAAAAAGTACTCTGCCCCAGGAGTTTTATTGCTTTTGCCAAGATAAAAGTGAAATTTAAACTCAGGTCTTCATGAATTTTCAAAGCCCATGCTCTTTCTACTATACCACACTGTCTCCTAGTATAACTTTATTAGGCATATTTAAAATTTACAGTATAAATAAACTACGAATATGTGTGTATCCACATGCATGTCTTCCTCAATGCATCTGCCACTCACTTGCCCTACCACAAGAATGCTCTGAGGGCTGAAAAAGAACGTGAGAATGAAGTACCCAGCCCGGCGCTCAATAAACATTAGTGTTCTTCCTAACGATCAAATGAGACCCTGTTGTCTACCTTTTCAAAATAAAAACGTTCTAACACAGAGTAAATTGCTCACTTGCATGGAGTCACATCAACACCATGAAACCTCAGTTCCAAGCCGGATTGTAGGTTTCTAGCCACTTGTTCAGCTGGCATTCCACAACCTAGTTATATAATGACCAGATCCCTCTCTCCTAATTACATGACCAGGTACTGTCACAGATCACTGACCAGGGTTAGGGACCCAGGGACCCAGGGTGAGAGAAAGGAAGGTAAAACCATGAGGGCAGAGTTGAAAGAAAACTACAGCTTTCTGAAACACTGTGAAACCAAAAAGACTAAGATGAGCCTTTCCCATGCAAGGAGGCAGTTGAGAAAGGAGGAGTATTATAGAGTTAATTCCTAGGACAAGATGTCTAAGTAGAGGATGTTGGGCAGAACCCGACGTAGCCACCAAGATGACTCTGTAAAGTCATAAGGAAAGCACTTCTGAAGCTAAGGGCTTGGGTGTGGGGAGCTGTTGCTTTCACAACCAAGGCAATCGACACAAATAGCTCTGCGGCAGATTAGGCGGTGGCTAAAAGTAAGAAGAAACAGGAAGGAATGCTGGAAATGACTATATAAGTTCAAACTATGTATGAAACGAAGCCATGGGAACCTATACAACATATATAATCTGTAGATAATATAAACCCCAAACCTCCCATATATGACAGTCAAATTACCTCAGGCTGAGACACTGTGGGAGAGGAAAAATACTAAAAGGGAAATGCACTAGAGGCAGGGACACAGTTTTAAAAACAAAACAAAACAAAAAACTGCAGAAGTCCCCTGAGTAAAATCAAGAGAGTGCAAGTTATCTCAGCATAAACAGGCAGGCACTGCTCTGCTGGAGGACTGTGCTATGCCAAGTTTCATCACATCAGCACAAGAGCTCCCTGGCACATGGGAACAAACATAGTCTGAATCATTTGCTGGTGTGCGCAAAACTTAGAAAATATAGATGATTCAGCTCTAAATGTTCTTCGTCCTGTGACTGGCCATGGACTGGTAGTCTTAAATTGGACAGTTTCTCTGTCCCAGGTTACTACTTCTCTAGTCCTCCAACACATAAAATCCATTTACTTAACAAATTTCGCTTTGCCCCAAGTGCAAAATGTCCTTCAAAGCAAAGGTTTTATGTTCGTATTCAGGAAAGGCTGACTCTGGCCCTTAAATGGATAAACCTCCTAGATAAAAATCACCAATGTTTGGAATAGTCTAGGTAAATACAGCAAAAAACATGAAAAATATCTTTGCTTTTTCCTTCATCAATATTAAAGGGCAAAAAATTCCCGTGTGTGTGTGTGTGTGTGTGTGTGTGTGTGTGTGTGTATCACTAAACATTTAGTAAACCTTACCATTCCCCTGTTGAAAAATAGACCTATTTATATATCTACGTTTTCTCAAATAAATTCTGTAAGCTTACCTATGGCAAAGCATAACACTCACTGAACAGGCTTCATATGCAGTAATATATAAAAAATAAAAACTTTATGCAGTCTTATTTTTAAAAACCACAGAACATGTGAACTGGCTTGTATTTCAAAAATCTGTCTCATCCAAGGGTGTTTAAATGTTGCCTAAATTGTTAATCATTGTTTTCTACCTAAAACAATACAGAAAATACATGAAAAGTACAGAATTATAAGGATGCCAGACCTTCCAAATCTTAGAGTACATTATTAATCCAAGAGAGCCTAGGTGCAGAATCAGAGGTGAAGAACCAAATGGAGCAGAAATAAAACAGCATCTTAGTTGAGAGTTTTAAAGATATATGACAAATCACCTGGCTTGCAAGTGTAATTATCATTGGAATTGTTAAAATAAAAATGACCACAACTTTGGCTGTTAAAATATTACATGCTATTCAAACAAAGAAATTAAAAGAAAAAAGAAAAAAACTCAGAAGATTTCTCCCTACATAAGCCAACTGGCTTATGGATCCAAAACATTCTTGATATCATTTTAGGTTACTAAGAAAATCTACCTCAATATATCATGTATTTTCAATTTCTCCATTAAAAAAAGTATTAATGCTTCTCAGAATAGGGGATTTGGGGAAAAAAGTATTAAAGATTTTGACAATAGCTGAAGGTCACGAAGAATTGATATAAGTAGAACATAGGTCTCTCCCTGTTTTCCCAATCCACCACACAACAGTGACCTACAGACAGGAATGTTAATGATACAATTAAAAGTTCTCTAAAATTAAAACTGTCTAAAGGAAAAAAGCCTCAGAAGAAATCATGTTTTAATATGAAACACTAAAGGCTAAAAATGGTCACCTCTAAATTGAATAATATCCTGAGATAACAATAATAGACAATTTAAACAATTTAGCTGTTTTTAAAATCAGTATGCACTTTTTTTCTTGAAAAACTGAAGGAAAATGTGGCATGAATAAAAAATACTATTCCTTTATTCATGCATTTAACAAATGTTTATTGACTACCAAATGCAGACCAAGTAGTGTCCTAGGCACTGAGGGTACAGCAATTAACAAAAAGTCCCTATCCTTGTGAGACTTACATACTAGGGAGGGGAGACGTACAATACACAAACAAATAAATAATAGGTCAATAGATACTGAGAAGCATTGAGAAAAACCCAGCACAGTAAGGTGTTGGGAAGTATCAGAAAATAGAGGGCAAGTCCTATTTTATATATAGTGGTAACAGAAGGCCTCTCTGATAGGTGACATACAGGTAGAGACCCAAAGAAAGAAAAGGGGCAAGCCACGTGGATAAGCAGGGGAACATGTTCCAGGCAAAATGAATAGCAAGTGTAAAGGTACAGGATACGAACATGCAGGCATGTCTCAAAGATACTGAGGTTTTGGTTACAGACCAACACAATAAAGCAGTATCACAATAAAGAGAGTCACACAAACTTGGTTTCCCAGTGCAAATAAAAGTTATGTTTACACTATATTGTAGTCTATTAAGTGTACAATAGCATTATGTCTAATAAAAACAATGTACATATCTTAATTAAAACTAGTTTATTGCTTTTAAAATGCTGATAATCAACTGAGCCTTCAGCAATTTTGCTGGTGGAGGGTTTTGCCTCAATGACTGATGAAGGTGGTGATTGCTGAAAGCTGGGGTAGGTGTGGCAATTCTTAAAATGAGGTTGCAATGAAATCTGTCATCTTTCATGAAAGATTTCTCTGTAGCATATGATGCTGTTTGATAGCATTTTCCCCAGAGTAGAACTTCTTTAAAAATTGGAGTCAGTCCTCTCTCAGCCTGCCGCTGCTTTATCAACGAAGTTTATGTAACATTCTAAATCCTTTGTTGTCATTTCAACAATGTTCACAGCATCTTCACCAGGATAGATCCCATTTCAAGAAACCACTTTCTTTGCTCATGTATAAGAAGCAACTCCTCCTCATCTACTAAAGTTTGATCATAATATTACAGAAATTCAGCTACAGAAATTCAGGCTCCACTTCTAATTCTAATTCTCTTGCTATTGAACCTCTCAAGGTCATCCATGAAGGTTGGAATCAACTTCTTCCAAACTCCTGTTAATGTTGATATTTTGACCTCCTCCCATGAATCACAAATGTTCCTAATGGCATTTAGAATGGTGAATCCTTTCCAGAAGTTTTTCAATGTGCTTTGCCCAGATCCATCAGAGGAATCACTATCTATGGCAGCTACAGCCTTACAAAATGTATTTCCTAAATAATAAGACCTGAAAGTCAAAACTACTCCTGGATCCATGGGCTGCAGAATGGATGTTGTGTTAGCAGGCATGAATACAACATTAATTTCCTTGTACATCTCCATTAGAGCTCTTGGGTGACTAGGTGTATTGTCAATGAGCAGTAATATTTTGAAAGAAATCTTTTTTTCTGAGCAATAGATCTCAATAGTGAGCTTAAAATATGCAGTAAACCATGCTGTGAACAGATGTGCTATCATCCAAGCTTTGTTGTTCCATTTCGAGAGCATAAGCAGACTAGATCTAGCAAAATTTTTAAGGGCCATAGGTTTTTTTGAAATGGCAAATAAGCATTGGCTACAACCTAAAGTCACCAGCTACATTATCTCTTAACAAGAGAGTCAGCTTGTCCTTTGAAGTTTTGAAGCCAGGCACTGACTACTTCTCTCTACCTACGAAATTCTTAGATGGCATCTTCCTCCAGGAAGGCTGTTTTGCCTACAATGAAAATCTGTTATTTAGTGTAGCCACCTTCATCAATTATTTTAGCAATATCTTCTGCATTATTTGCTGCTTCACCTGGCATTTTTGTTTGTTTGTTTGTTTTTGTTTTTTTAGTGGAGTCTTGCTCTGTCGTCCAGGCTGGAGTGCAATGGCGTGATCTCGGCTCACTGCAACCTCCACCTCCCTGGTTCAAGAGATTCTCCTGCCTCAGCCTCCCAAGTAGCTAGGACTACAGGCACGCACTACCACGCCCAGCTAATTTTTGTATTGTTAGTAGAGACGGGGTTTCACCATGTTGGCCAGGACGGTCTTCATCTCTTGACCTCATGATCCGCCCGCCTTGGCCTCCCAAAGTGCTGGGATTACAGGCGTGAGCCACTGTGCCCGGCCCACCTTGCACTTTCACGTTGTAGAGATGACTTCTTTACTTACAACTCATGAACCAATCTCTGCTAACTTTCAACTTTTTTCTGCAGCTTCCTCACCTCTCTCAGGTTTCATACAATTCAAGAGAGTTAGGGCCTTGCTCTGGATTAGGCTTTAGCTGAAGAGAACGTTGTGGCTGGTTTAATCTTCTATGCAGGCCACTAAAACTTTTCCCGTATTGGCAAGAAGGCTGTCTTACTTTCTTGTCTTTCTTGTGTTCACTGGAGTAGCACTTTTGATTTCCTTCAAGAACTTTTCTTTTGCATTCACAACTTGGCTGTCTGTTGCAAGAGCCTTAGCTTCTGACCTGTCTCAGCTTTCAACATGCCTTCCTCACTAAGCTTAATCATTTCTAGCTTTTGATTTAAAGTGAGAGACGTGGGATTCTTCCTTTCACTTGAACACTTAGAGGCTACTGAAGAGTTACTAATTGGCCTAATTTCAATATTGTTGTGTCTCAGGGAATAGGGAGGCCTAGGAGAGGGAGAGAGACTGAAGAATGGTGGGTCAATGGAGTAGTCAGAACACACACAGCATTTACTAAGTTCATTGTCTTCTATGGGTGTGATTCATGGTGCCCCAAAACAATAACAATAGTAACATCAAGTATCACTGACCAGAAAACACCAGGACAGATATAATAATAATAATGAAAAAGTCTGATATATTGCAAAAATTACCAAAATATGACAGAGACAAGAAGTAAGCACAAGCTGTTGGAAAAATGGTGCCAATAATCTTGCTCAACATGGGGTTGCCACGAACCTTCAATTTGTTTAAAAACAAAACAAAACAAAACAAAAACCCTGCAGCATCTGTGAAATGCAATCAAGTGCAATAAAACAAGGTGTACCTGTACTTGGAGTGCTGAGGATTAGTAAAAGTGACAGAGTGAGCATGGGAGAGTGGTGTGACATGAGGTCATTGTGTTTACCCTAGATTATCCAGGGTATTTGGAAATAACTGGCTTCAGTGAGGGAAAGACAGGCAGGAAGGGAGAGTGAAAGAACAGGAGCTACATTTCCTTGAATTCCTACTAAGTGCCTGATAAAGCACATTATCTCTTTTATTCCATACTCTTACCCTATAAATTAGGCGTTTCACACCAATTTATACATCTGTTTCACAGATGAGACTCAGAGAAGCCAGGAGAAAGCTAGTAAAGGGGAGAATCAAATTTAAATGCAGATCCTTCTTACTCCAAAGTTCAAGCCCTTCGTCATGCTCCTCTGCTTCCCAGAGATAGCCAAAGATAACAGCTGAGATAGCCAAAGATAACAGGCAGAATACTCAAACTAATTAAGGTCCCACAAAGAGCAAAGTGAAGTTGCACCACTGACATCCTTATGATTCTTCTATGTGTACATTCTTCTCAGGGATTCTTATTTCTTTTCAGATCACCCAAAGGAAGACATTTAATGTGCTATCTGATGTAAGAGATACTTTCAAAAATTAAGGGTAATGGTTAGGGCAGGAAAAAAGGTAGCAGAGATGCAGCACAGAAATACCTGTCACAGAGACTAGGCAGCTCATTCTACCCTGCCCCAGACCCCACCTAACCTCCAGCCCTCTGCAGAAGCAACCTCCCAAAAAAGAGAGCTATAAATATGCAAATCCAAAAGGAGGTGATGATGGAGGCAAGACATGCTCGCATGCTTTCCTTTGCTTTACTCCAATTTTACATGAGGGCATTTGACCAGACATCATATACGTACATAAAATGTTCAAAGAAAAGAGTAGAGATTTATTATTTTAAGCATTCCCAGACCAGGGTTTTCCTAGGCTCCCAGGTTTGAATCAGGAGAAGGAAGTTGAGATCAGGAACTCTCTGGTTGCTGGTTGGTTCCATGATTCAGATTTAGGGGAAATCAGTTAAGGGATTTCCCTAAGATCAACCTTATTAGGGCTTTCTCTGGGAAAATAACTAGTTGAAATCAGTAGCACTGAGCACTGGTTTGCAAAGCCACTATGAGATCAAAGAGCTACAGAGAAAACCTGGGGGAGCCCTGTGAGGCTTCACGAAGAGGTAAGTGGGGGTAAGTTTGCAGTCTTCCTAAAAGTGAAAAGGTAAACAAGAATAAAATTAAGCAGTGATTGAAGACAATTTACTCACCTGGGGAAATGTACTTAACGTGTAAATATGATCTGTATTACTTTTAAATTGTTCGATATTGTATCAAGATAAATTTGCCATATAAAGTTACTATTAATGTTTTATCTTCTAAACCGGTTCTAGAAACATGATAAAAAGGCACCCATAAAGTCTCCCATTTTACAGCTAGAGAAAATGAGGTTGGTGATGAGGCACTGCACCCAACTTACGGATCACAGTCACAACTGGGGTCTGAGGGTTGTTTTGCTAACCCTAGGGCAGCGGTTCTCACCCAGGGGCAATTTTGCCCCCAGCAGGGTACTTGGCAATGTCTGCAGTCAGTTTTGTTTGTGGGGGTGGGAAGCTTGGTTGCCACTATCATCTAAAGGACAGAAGCCAGGGATGTCCTACAGTACACAAGACAGCCTCCACGACAATAAACAAATATCCAGCCCCAAATGCTAACCGTGTTAAGACCAGATCTAAACCCTGGTCTAGAGTTACTTAGAAAAGGGGGGACTGTCTTTTTTAAAAATGACAAACTTTGAAAAATTATTTTGAAAAAAATGCTTATTGGTGGATCGGAATTTTGAAGAAAAGACATACCAATATATTATACAATCTGCTATGTATGTGGCACTTTCCCATTTTCATCTTTCCCAGTCCTTAAGTAACATTTCTTCCTTCCTGGAAATCTTATTCCCTGTATGGGGGTGAGGCTCACCTGAAGTTAAAGCAGCAGCTTTTATCTTCCTCAGGCAAATATGGGCTCAGTCATGCCATACTAGGTTTATCTTCTCCCAGGTTCAGCCACTGCCTCAAATCAGATCATTTCACCATTACCCCCTGCGTTTCCTCTTTCTCTAAAGCAAGCTTGTCCAACCCTCTACCCGTGGGCCACATGCAGCCCAGGACAGCTTTGAATGAGGCCTAAGCACAAATTTGTAAACTTTCTTAGAACATTCTGAGATTTTCTTGCGATTTTTTTTAAGCTCACCAGCTATCATGTTAGCGTATTTTATGTGTGGCCCAAGACAATTCTTCTTCATCCAATGTGGCCCAGGGAAGCCAAAAGATTGGACACCCTGTTATAAAGTGAAGATAACAATCTTGCTCTCAGAGGGCGTTGTTTGGATTAATCAGTCCATTAAGAACTTCGTGCTTTACAATGAAGACAAAAGAGGCTAAGTGTTTTAGAAGTTACAAATGATACTTCCTTGCTGCTTGGAGCCGTTAAAGGAGTAATAATAAAAATATGCAAATCAAACTACAAAGTGAACATCTTTTCCTCTCATACCAAATGCTTTTCGGTGAATATTCTTGCCTAAAATTTCATGTTATTTGCGTATGACTGGAAGCTAGAGTTTTATCATGAGGAGAGCTATTGGACACAGAGACACTAGTCACAGTAGGGTTCTCAATTCCTTCAACCAACTCAGAATGCCCTTTTCCCCACTCATCAACTATCAGATTTAATATAGTGATCATCTTTAAGTAGGTCGACAAGTAATTTGACATTCCAGAACACAGAACCTGAATATATATGATACACTAAAATAATCCTTCCATAAGCCAAAAGTTGGCTATGATAAAACAGATAAGAACAACAACAAAACCTCTGTTAAAGAGGCCCTAGATAAAATGGATTTCCTGTGGCTGAGGTGCTCAAAGTTAAAACAGAACCAGGCAGACATAGCTCGGTGAGGGAGCAGTCATGTACTCTATTCTCAGAGAGATGTAAAAATATCACAGGACCTCCCCTTTCAGTCTTATTTATAAAATAAACATCTAACAGAGACTTCTGGTTTCTGGCTTGGAAACCAACCAATCAGAGCTCAACTGCCCCAGCCAATTAGGCTCAGCTGTATCAACCAATCAGGATTCAGTTGTCTTGACAATCAGAACTGAGCAAGTTTTAATCCTTCATTTGCATAAACAAACCTGATTGATAACCTAGAGGAGAACTTTTGCTGGAACCCTGCCATTGTTCTCTGGAATGCACCTTTGTTTTACACCTAAGGCTGCCTCTCCTCAGTTTGCAAACTGTCTATTGAAATAAAGTCTCTTTCATTCAAATTCCTTTTCAGAGAACTTTTGTTCATATCCCCAAAGTTCACCTTCTAAAAGTCAAGCCATGGAAGAATTATATTTCATGGAAATCAACACGCACACTTTACTGAGCTTATTTTAAATCCTCTACAAAGAAAGGTGCAGCTCTCAACATATTTCTTATCCCAAAACACATTTGAAGGCCTGACATAGGGGTAACTTATTATTCAACAGGGTAACCATAGGTCATCTCTCACATGCCACAGATCATAACGACTTGACAGAAATGTGTAGATGCAGCACTTCAATTATCAAAGTCCCTCTCACCAACAGTGAACTCTGTCTCTGTATGGCTCTTTCAAACTTGCTCATCTGAAGAAAGGTCCCATCCAACTCCATGATTCTATTTTTCTAGTATTTGAAAAGGTTAATAGATTTTTAATAATATATAAGTTTTAAATCATTTCTCTTTCTACCTATCAAAATCTCTTTATCTTACTACATTCTCAAGGAGGGAAAGACCTAAGTGTGGGCAGCATGTAGTGACTTCCTTCCAAATAGTGAGGTATGAAAAAGAGGTGGGCGAGGGTAATCTCACAGGTGAGAAACCTGACAAACACTACCTCAGCCAGATGATCAAGGTTAACATCAAAAGTCATAAGTCATGTCAGTTACATATTCTTGATATGATAGGCACTTTACCTCTGTGACCTTCCTTCAAAAAACCATAACCCCAGTCTAATAATGAGAAAAACATCACACAACCCCAAATTGAGGAACATTCCTCAATGAGCTGTGCTCGTTGGTAATCATATATCAATGTGCTGGGAGAGTGATTGTGTCCTGAAGACAAGGAAACTCCTCATTTGTGACCCTTCCTGACCTCACCCTATGTAACCCTTCACTGGCTGTATCCTGTATAATAAAACTGTAATCATAAGTATGGTACTTCCCTAAGTTCTGTGAATCATTCTAGCAAATTACTGAATTTGTAGCTAGTTGGTCAGAAACATAGATAGTCTGGATAGTCTGGGAACCCCAGAGTTTGCAGCTGGTATCTGAAATGAGAAGAGCCTTAGGGACGACTGTGACCTCAGCCTCTGAAGTCTGCACCTACTCATTGTGGTTAGCTTCAGGATTGCATTGCAAGTATGGACTTTAGTTAATAATAGTGTATCAATATTGGCTCATCAATTGTGACAAATATACCATTCTAAGATGTTAATAATAAACTGGGTGTAAAGCATATGGGAACTCTGTACTATCTTTGCAACTTCTCTGCAAACCTAAAACCATTCTAAAATTAAAAGCTTATTTTAAAAAATACACCTTTATCTGAATTCTAAGCTACCAAATCACCATCAGAAATAAGTGATCTTTGGTACTAAGTTGTTACTTAAGTGGTCATAACTTTTCATATTATACCACAATTCCAAAGAATTATCATAAACTAAATGATAGTAAGAAAAATAACTAAAAGTTAATTTAAGAGCATATTACTTTAATCACCTCTGATTAGCTAACCCAAAAAATTAGTTACGTGTCTTAGCCTCACTTTGACTTTTAATCTACCTACTTCACTATATAAAAGTAAGGATTTCTTTCTTGTTCTCCCTCAAAGGATAGTATTATGAATATTACCTGGGTGCATGCTGACATTAGACTATTACCACAGTAGTTCAGCCATAAGTTAACACACACCCATCTACCTTAGGCATGTGAAAAACTCCAAACTCCCCTTACACCAAACTCCAGGTGCTAGCCAATGAGATCCCTCAAGATCTGGTTGTTGGCTAAACAGTTCCATCCTTCTCTTTCTAAAATAAAAAAAACTCATGTCACCTTTGCAGTAGCGTCCCTCTGCCTAGACTGTTCCTCCTCCAGATCTTAATACAGCTGGCTCCTTCTTGTTATTCAGAGCTCAGTGAAATGTGATTTTATCCAAGAGGCCTTTTTCATCCATCCAATCTAAAGAAGCATTCCTAACACTCATTATTTCTCCGTTTATATTTTTATCACATTACTAATCATTATCTGATTATTTTCTAGTTTAATCTGCTTTTTATTCTCTCTTCCTATCCACTGGAAAGCAAATTTCATAAGCACAGGGCCCTTGCCTGCCTTGATCACTGTTCTAATGTCAGCCCCTGGAACAATACCTGTCACACAGCAAGTGCTCAGTGAACGGTTTTTGGTTGAATGAATGGATAAAATGAAAGTAGATTTAAAGAAAATTATGCAATAAGACTAAAATATAAGCTATTAAGAGAAAGAGAAATAAACTTACTAAGACCTAGTTATGCTGCTCCAGTTCTTTGGGTACATATCTCATTAAAGCTTAACAAAACTCTGTAAAGGATATATTATTATCCCTACTTACTATTTTCAGATGAGAAACAGAGACTAGGAAAGGTTTAATAAGGAGTTCAATGGCAAAAGTGACATGATTTTGCATCTGACTGACTCTAAGCCTATGCCTTTTCCACTCCTTCTTTGACATATAAACCCACTGTTCATTTTATGTCTCTCTTTAAATGGTCTCATGAAAACTGGGATGCCTAGTGCAGTGACTGTCATTGTGACCTTAGCCTTATAAAACTAGTGAGAGACCAGAAGACAGAGTAGTGCTAATCGAGTTTGGCACAATGAATGAAAATACTGGGAGCCAGTGAGAATGTTTACAAGTCAAAAGACCTTCTGGATCTCTCTTTAAACTAAAGGATGACTTAACCCCCCTCAGAATCCTCCTCCCATGAACACTGTACAAATACAACCTGAAAATAACTCTTAACAGATCAGCTTAAATCTGACTAACATAATCCTCAACAATTTCCTTCCCACGTCAAACATACATACTTTGAGATTAACATGAATGAGAAAATATGAAAATTGTTCTACATATAAATCTAAATGCCAACTCTTAAATGACCCAGATATTGCTGGTCTTCCCATGGTAATCTCTGCCATCCCTCTGTGACTTCTCTGCTGCCTGACTCTGTCACTCTGTTCTACCTCCAAAAAAAAGATACAATTGCACAGAGCATTCCTAAGTAATGTAACCTCAGCAAGTCAAGTTTTCATGACAATAATACATCCTACCCTCAGAGTATCTCCACTACAACACAGGCTCTCCCTCCTGTCCCTCTGCTTTCCAAAATCAGTGTTCCCAAATATGACTCTCTCTATTAGTAGAGCCCCCAGTATAAAAAAGGTGTTCATCTCCCTGAATTTGCTGCTTCTCTGCCAGGCCAGTTTGCCTTCCCCAGCTTATTTTCTCTTGTTATATATTTACATACAACATATTTGCAAAAACTGTGCTGCATTTATACCCTGATAAAATACTTTTATACATTACAATTAAAGAAGCATGCTTAATTTCTAAGGTGCTATGGAGGAACAAGAATATTAGTAAACATTTAAGTGTTAAAAATGATCTGAACTCACAAACAAAATTAATGTCAAATAAACAAATCATTTATCAGCGTAATATCATCAAAATTAGTTAATAACAGTTCATGTAACTAAGAAAGATGTCAAAGTCCTACCTCACAGCCCTCTGTATCTGTGTGTTCTGCATCCTTAGACTCAACCAATCATGGATCAAAAATATTTGGGGAAAAAAAATGGATGGTTTCATGTACTGAACTTTGTAAAAACTGTTTTTCTTGTCATTATTCACTAAAGAATACAGTATAACAACTATTTACATATAATTTATACTGTATTAGGTATTATAAGTAATCTAGAGATGATTTAAAGTATACAAGAGAATGTGTGTAGGTTATACGCAAATACTATGCCACTTTATATTAGGAAATTGAGCATCCATGTATTTTGGTATCCACAGTGGGGAGGGGTCTCCTGGAACCAATCTCCTGCAGATACCAAGGGAAGACTATACACACATGATCATGTGAGATTCATACTAGTAGAATAAAGATGGTTCGATATCAGAAGATCTACCAATGTAATTTATACCATTAGCAGGTCCAAGGAGAAAAAAAAACTATGATCATATGTATAAATTTGAAAACATATTTGATAAACTTCAATATAAACTACAAATTTTGAAAAATTCTTAATAAAACAAAAAAGTACATATAGTTCCTTAACATAATTAACATATGTATAATTATATACATATTATGGGTCCAAAATCTATGTCATGATTGAAGATGAAATTCTAGAAACAGAACCAGTAAGCTTGGGAATAAAATAAAGATGCACATTTATCACCATTATTATTTTACATTATTCAAAAAGCACAAGTCAATAAAATTAGAAGAAAGAAATAATAAGAGAGATACAAATAGAAGAGTGAGAGGCAAAATTATCAGCATTTACAATATGATTAGACAACAAGAAAATCTATCAGGATCATTGGAAGAACAATTATAAACCATAAGGGAATTCTGTATAGTGGCTTTCCTGTATGTAAAAATAACCAATTAGAAAACATTATGCCATAAACGATCTCATTTCTAAGACTGTAACTAAAATTAAAAAGTCTTGAGAATAAGTCTAGTAACAAATGTAAAATATCTATATGAAGAACTTTAAGACTTTAATAAATCCATAATAGAAATCTTTAATAAATTAAAGAAGTATCCTATTCCTGGATATTGTAAAATTATCAGTTTATCTAAATTAAATGATAAAGGTAATGTAATCTCAATAATACCAACAGAATTTTGTTGCTGTTATTGTTTGCAACCAGATAAGCTGATTCTAAATGTCACTTACAAAAATAAAGTATATTAAAATAGCCCAGAACATTCTAAATGTTAAAATATTGTAAAGTTATAGTAATTAAAACAGGTTGTTTACACTGGCTTCATGAAAAGTAATAAAATAGAAAAAAGTCCAGAAATAGACCCTACAGGTAAAAATTTGGTATACATAAAACTGCATTTCAAAAAAGCAGAGAAAAGATGGATTATTATAGCAAGCTGGAAAAATAAAACTAAATTTTTATATAACTCAATTCTCACATTTCTAATTGATCAAAGGTAAAAATAATGAATCCATTAAAATACTAGACAAAAACAATAGATAAACTTTATCACTTCTAAATGTGAAAGTTATTTCTAAGTAAAATTCAAAATCCCAAAATAATAAAATTGCTAAATGTGATGGCATAAGATTTGTTTTGATCTACAAAAAAAATCCATAAATCAAAATACAAATAACAAACTACAAAATATATTGGTAGCACATATGATAAAGGGCAAATCTTCTTTCTACAGAAAGAACTCTTACACTTCATCAGAAAAAGAACAATGCAATAGGAAAATGGGCAAAAGACATGAACCAGAAGTTCACAAAATAAAAATACTAACAAGTGGTTTTACAAAAGGAATAAAATACCTAGGAATACAGCTAACCATGGAGGTGAAAGATCTCTACAACGAGAATTACAAAACACTGATGAAAGAAATCAGAGATGACACAAACAAATGGAAAAACATTCCATGCTCATGGATAGAAAGAACCAATATCATTAAAATGGTCATACTGCCCAAAGCAATTTACAGATTCAATGCTATTCCCATCAAACTACCAAAGTTGTTTTTCAGACATAGAAAAAACTATTTTGAAATTCTATGGAACCAAAAAAAAGAGCCCACAATAGCCAAAGCAATCCTCAGCAAAAAGAACAAAACCAGAGGCATCATGCTACTGGACTTCAAACTATATTACAAGGCTACAGTAACCAAAACAGCATGGTACTGGTTCAAAAACAGACACATAGACCAATGGAACAGAACAGAGAACCCAGAAATAAAGCCACACACCTATAACCATCTCATGTTTCACAACACCAACAATCATAAGCAATGAGGAAAATTCAATTTTCCTATTCAATCCCTATTCAATAAATGGTGCTGAGATAACTGGCTAGCTTTATGCAGAAGATTGAAACTGGACTCCTTCCTTTCACCATATACAAAAATCAACTTAAGATAGATTAAGGACTTAAATGTAAAACCTAAAACTATAAAAACCCTTGAATAAAACCTAGGAAATACCATTCTGGACATAGGTCCTGGCAAAGATTTCATGATAAAGACTCCAAAAGCAATTGCAACAAAACAAAAATTGACAAATGGGACCTAGTTAAACTAAAGAGCTTCTGCACAGCAAAAGAAACTATCAACAGAGTAAACAAACAGACAACCTATGGGATGGGAGAAAATATTTGCAAACTACACATCCAATAAAGGTCTAATATCCAGAATCTATGAGGAACTTAAATAAATTAGGCAAAAAACAACCCCATCAAAAAATGGGCAAAGGACATGAACAGACACTTCAAAAGAAGACATACATGTGGCCAAAAAACATACAAAAAGTGCTCAACATCACTATTCATTAAAGAAATACAAATCAAAACCACAATAAGATACTATCTCACACCAGTCAGAATGGTGATTATTAAAAAGTCAAAAATTAACAGATGCTGGTGAGGTTGTGAAGAAAAGAGAACTCTTATATACTGCTGGTGGAAATGTAAATTAGTTCAGCCACTGTGGAAAGCAGTTTGGAGATTTCTCAAAGAGCTTAACATAGTACTCCCATTCGACCCAGTAATCCCATTACTTGGTATATACCCAAAGGAATATAAATTGTTCTACCATAAAAACACATGCATGTGTGTGTCGACTGCAGCACTATTCACAACAGCAAAGACACGGAATCAACTTAGATGCCCCTCAATGATGGATAGAATAAAGAAAATGTGGTACCTATATAACATGGACTACTATACAGTCATAAAAAATAAACACAACAAAATCATGTCCTTTGCGGCAACATGAATCCAGCTAGAGGCCATTATCCTAATCAAATTAACAGAGAAACAGAAAACCAAATACTGCATGTTCTTACTTATAAGTAGGAGCTAAACATTGAGTACACATGGACACTAATAAGATAACGATAGACACCAGGGCCTATTTGAGGATGGAGGGTGGGATGAGGGTGAGGATTTCAAAAACTACCTATTAGGTACTATGCTCACTACCTGGGTGATGGAATAATCCATACACCAACCCCCATGACATGCAATTTACCCATGTAACAAACCTATACAGGTACCCCCTGAACCTAAAATAAAAGTTGGAAGGAAAAAAAAAAAAACCCAAATGGCTTTTATTCCATAAGAAGATGTTCAACTTTACTCGTAATTAAAAAACAAAATTAGGCCAGGCGCAGTGGCTCACACCTGTAATCCCAGCACTTTGGGAGGCAGAGGCAGGTGGATAACCCGAGGTCAGGAGTTCGAGACCAGCCGGGCCAACATGGTAAAACCTTGTCTCTACCAAAAATACAAAAATTAACTGAACATGGTGGCTCACACCTGTAATCCCAGCTACTTGGGAGGCTGAGGCACAAGAATCGCTTGAACTCGAGAGGCAGAGGTTGCAGTGAGCCAAGATCATGTCTCTGCACTCCAGCCTGGGCAACAGAGTGAGACTCTGTCTTAAAAAAAAAAAAAAAAAAAAAAAAAAAATATATATATATATATATATACACACACACACACACACACACACACACACAGAGAGAGAGAGAGAGAGAGAGAGAGAGAGAAAAATGAGATTCCATCTTTATCCAACTTGCAAAAATCAAAAAGTTTAAAGATACAGTGCTCTGGCATGAAAGTGGGATTTAGGAACTCTCACATAGCACTAATGGAAGTATAAATTGGTCAACCCCCTTTAGATTTTTTTTTATAGATATTGCCAAATGGAGTTTGGCAGTATCTATCAAATGGAATTTGGCAATATCTATTAAAATTAGAACTATACATGCTCTTTCACCCAGCAATTTTACTTCTAAAAATATACACATGTGGGAAAGACATATGTAAAAAAAAAAAAAAAAACAGTGCACCGCTGTCTTGTAAGAACAAAATGAAGGGAACAAACAAAAATGAAGGAACAACTTACATGTCCATCAGCAAGGGATGGTTACATAATGAATGGTTCACTCACACAATGGAATACTGAGCAGCCAGTAAAAGGAATGCAGATGTGTCTAAGTTCATCTCTTAAATACATGAAGTGAAGAAGTCCACAGTGCAGAAGAGTTTACATAACATGCTTCTATTTATATGAAAAGGAAGCTAGAATCACATAGATATATTTGCACATGCCTAAAATATTGCTCAAAAGATGCAACAGAAAACAGATAATGACAGTTACTTCTGGGGAGGGGTTTTAGAGATCCAGAGTAGAAGAAAATTTAAGTTTTTTATTGAGCATTTTTATGCTGTTTGAAATGTTTAGTTTGAGCATTTTAAGTTATAAAAAGTAATACATCCTTCATTTTGCTTTCAGATTTATGGTACTTTAGTAACAAAATCAATCTTTCTTTTTAAATAATAAACTATTTTCTTTTTAACTAAATAAAATAATTTATTATTTCTTATACAACACTTAAAAATGTATAGAAAACTCAAAATATTCTAAGAAATGAACTTTAAAATTCTTTTCTATAAAAATGTGGATACTTAGACTGTGAAGCACACTTCTAACAGTCTAACCACAGTGTTTAACACCTAGCACAGTGGCTAGCAGAGTAAGCAAACACTGTATAAATCCTTGTTGAAGGAGATAAGGAAAAAAATGGACTGGATAAAACTAAACACACTCCCCAGTGCTAGTCTTCAAATATGAGCAACAATTTACTGGGTGTGCCAAAGGCTTAGAAAGTTTCCAGTCACCCTCAGAACAACCACAGAGCCAGATAGACTGGTCAGAGTAGTTTCCTGACATACTCTTTCCCAAACAATCACCACTTTTGTCTTTCCAATCCTAGCTTGTTGATCAGCACATTTTTTCTTCAACCTCCCCTCCTTCAACCTTCCCTTAAATAAGGTTTATCTGGGACAAATAAAAGTACTTTCCTTTCAACTAACCAACTGACCACTGATTGATACAAAATTCAGTGCTTATGGAGCATAATAAGGAATGTTGAGATAAATTAATGTTTGATAGAGTGATTACATAGGAAATGGGTTTGTCTTTGAGTGAGAGAGCATGTAGGGAGAGAAAAACAAAACCATTTTTTAAAAGACATTTAATAAGTATTAAGTCCAGCCTTTTGTAGATTGTTAAACTCACAAGGTAAACTTTAAAGCCTACAAATTCTTCTCTGTTTTATTGCAAAAGCAGTATGGGTAACCCGACCTCATTTTACATTGTGTGGCTTTTTTTCTTTCCATTTTCTCTTTCAACAGTGAGTGCTATCTAATATCCATTAAAGCTCCAGTTTTCTGCAAGAAACTCTTATTCCTGATTAACTATTCATATGGTAGAAGATGATTTGCTTGGCTCTTTACAACTTTTCCAGTCCATTATCAATATCAAGTCACATTCCAAAAACCACACAACTCTAGTAAATGATACTATATGTGAATGAAACAGTATGGTAGATTAGAACAGTATTAAACCATTTTAAATGGTTTAAATATATACACATATAGTGAAACAGTGAAAATATATACACATATAGGTATCAGTATATATCTGTGAATATAGATAGGTACGCTTTTTTTAAAAGCAAGTATAGCATTATGAAGTACATTAAAATTATTAAATTGCTACAAGTTAACCTAGAAGAATGAAAACATCGTTGCACTTTCAAAGATGTTAAAGCCATTATTAGGTTCTGGCAATAGTGAAATCCAACATGTTTAAATAACAATTCACATAAATTATATTCTTTTTAGATACTTGTAACCTAAAATAAATGTAGGATTCTCTTCAAAATCACTTTTTTGGTATCTTCAAAAATCTTACTACTAGAGCCATCTCTTCTAACTATCAGATATTTCTTCAGTTCAATACCTGATTCCTTAGAATATAGTTCTAAGTTAGGCATCCCTACATAATTACAAGGAGACTTTGGGAAACTCAGGACACAATGCAGAAAGCTGGGATTCAACAGAGAAATAGAGAGACATTTAACATCCAGAGGGGGAACATGGTAACTACTTACTTTTGTTAGTCAATCAAGTCAACCATAGAATTTTTTTTCTTTAAACCACAGAATTTTGATACCTCCATTATTTAATTTCTTTCTTTCTTTCTTTCTTTTTCTTTTTTTTTTTTTTGAGATGGAGTTTCGCTCTTGTTGCCCAGGCTGGAGTGCAATGGTGAGATCTCGGCTCACTGCAACCTCCATCTCCAGGGTTCAAGCAATTCTCCTGCCTCAGCCTCCTGAGTAACTGGGATTACAGGCACCCGCCACCACGCCCGGCTAATTTTTGTATTTTTAGTAGATATGGAGTTTCACCATATTGGCCAGGCTGGTCTCAAACTCCTGACCTCAGGTCATCCGCCCGCCTTGGCTTCCCAAAATGCTGGGATTACAGGCGTGAGCCACCGCACCCAGCCTCCATTATTTAATGTCTATAGACAGGACATGATAAATGTCATTCTTTTCCTGAGAATCATTTTTTTTAATGTGCTAATATAACTGCAGGATGTAGCATCATCATGATGAAACAATTGTGCCTGAAAAGACACAGATGTGACTTTGGAAGTCATTGGGTCCTGAAGCCTTTCTATAAAAGCCGCTCTAAAGGAGGAAGCCTTTTTAAGGATTGTGGCCTTCTTTGATGATAAACAGTTCCAGGTCTTGAAGTATGTACATTTCTATAGTTGCTCAGAAGTTCCACTGGCCCATGAAGAGGGCAAAGTAATTTTTAAGAAAAATCACTGGGAGTTTTTCTTAGCAATCACCACTTTGAAAGGCAAAAATTTTAAAGTTTTTCATCAATTTCAAACAGTATTAAAATAAAGAATAACACAATTCAATAAACAAGCATTTCTGAAGTATTTAAAAACTGAGCAAAGAATCAAGTAGGTTATAGAATTAGGCATTTTTAAAAATTTGAAGCATAAACTCTAAAGTGAAAGGATGACAAAGAACTCTTTTTTTACTTTACAACATTTCTAAGCTCTATGTATTTTTTAAAATTTTTCAACTAGCATATATCACTTCTGGAATAATAAAAACACAGATTCAAAATAGTTTTAAATTATAAATGAGGTTTTTTAAGAAAGTCAATCATGTTAGTTTAGGAACAACCAATTCCAGTCCTTCAGAAATAAGTGTAAGTATGAACACATTTTATGCATTTTTTTCAAAAAACTAATTAGTGTAAGAAACAAATAAATCTAAACCTTTCCACATAGCCCAGAAGAATTTACTTCTCTATTCATTAAATTTTAAAGCACAGGCCAACTTTGTCACATAGTCAGAAATCTGCACAGTGCTCAGTTGTCTGTTGTTCATAAGCACTGAAACTTTCACAAGTGATTGTGAGTAACACACTGTCATTTTATGTCCTATAATAATTTCAGTCAACATGGTGGTGGTGGTGGTAGTGCTGAAAACTGCAACCTCCATCAACCTTAGAACAAAAGGTGAACGTGATAAACCTATACGCGAAAGGTCAAACAACTGTCATGACACTCTGCGGAAGACAGGCTCCTATGTAATAGAGATAATCATGACAACATTTATTTGGCAAAAAAAAAACAAACAGAATAGGGAGAGTGACTGCTAACAGACACAGGGTTTCTTCTTGGAGTGAAGAGAATGCTCTAGAAGTAGACAGTGGTAATGGCTATAAAGCCTTATAACTATATTAAAAACCAGTGAGTCATACACTTTAAAGTGGTGAATTTTATGGCATGTAAATTATATCTCAATTTCTTTAAAAACCAAATAAATCTTAAGGAACAAAACACTGGCCAAAAATAAGTAATGACATTCTGAAATACATATACAGTATTTTAGCAGAGCCACTGCTGGGCACAGGAAGTTAAACAAGACACATAGGTACGGCTCATGTCCAGGGTGTTTCAGAATGAACATGTTCTGCACTTTGATTTCAAAAAGAAGATATATAAAGGGCCTAAGCTCAACCCCCATATCGTTAGGCTTCCTCTGAGAAGCTGCCTTCTGAAAAATTACCACTGGTTTTCTAAATATGCGCAGACAAAAGCAGGGTAAACACACTGTAGTCCATTACTTCTAGAAGTTGCCGGTCCTTCAGCCTAATCATCTCTCCTATTGCAGGAAATGAGTGCACCCAGCATTGTGCAGCCTTCCTCCACCACAGGATTTCTTTCATGTGCCCTGAGCTCTCTTGAATGTGAAATGCTTTTAGAGGGGACATCTAAGAGGTCTGTGCAGCTAGGCCATTTTCCTTTTCTTTTAATACAATGGACAACTTTTTGGTTTCCATGGACTTCTATAGTATATACAAATAAAAGCAAAGAACACCTCACCTATTTGGCGAGGAAGATCTACAAGATCACTCAGCCTATCATGTCTAAATGTAACAATCTGCAGGACTGAAATCCCTTTCCAGCAGACATGCTTTTAAAGCCAAAGAAAATAAAAGCATATAATAAGGCCATCCCTAAGCTATATCTGTCAGCCATAGCTATTAAGAGTTTACAAAAAGCCATGAGTCGCTCTATCACTAAAAGAAAAACCATTCTTTTCCTAAAAAATAAGGGATAGTGACCACAGTAGAACATGAGTGGGGCTTCTGGGGTACTACTGGTAATGTTCTGTTGGTGAAAATTCATTAAGTTAGAGAATAGCAACGTATACCTGTTAATATGTGTACTTCCATAGAAAGTAAAAAATAAATAAGAGGGAAACAGAGTTGCTAAATGAAGAGTAAAGACTTCATTAGTTTCTTCACTAAAATAAAACATCAAGTTAAAGAGAACAATGATGATGACAGCTAACTCTTCATAAAATACCACAATGCCAGGCACTATACTAAACCCTTTACATACATTTTATCTTAAAACAAGATAATATATTCTTGTATTTCAAAAAAGAACTGAACCATGTGTGCCCTAAAAATATGTCTGTCTACAACCCAATATCTGCCTGACAGGAACTGCTACAACCTGATGGTTGGCCCCACCATAAACTATTGAGTCTAAATCTCCTGTGCTATCAAGTAGGAAAGAAAGGCCCATTCTTCCACCTTGACACACACCCACATCCTGAGGACGAATATAGAGTTCGAAAGGAATCAAACTCCATGCTATTTCTTTACTTCTGCTCCACTTTCTCACCAACAAGGGTACTGTCATGAAAGCTGAACTAGAGTAATAGCTATTTCCCTTCCTCACCACTCCATGCACTCAAGCAGCTGTTTATTAGCCTTTTATAATTCCACAGAAGTCTGGCTAGGCCTGCAATTCCTTAAGCACATTTCTGAATAAGGATCCAATGGAGCCTTTGCCAGGTACAAGTAGGAAGTGAAAGAATGACCACTTCCCTTTTTGCATTCTAAAGACTTCTTAAGACTGGTTCCCACTAATTTTTCAGGGGCTGATGAAATTTTGTTATAATGGCATTATATTATAACAAACTATCTGCTACTAAAATTTAAATATCTAGAGATCATTTATCAAGCACTTTCTATTTGCTAGATGCTGAAGGGCTCTTTATATCCTTTGTCCCAAATTAATCCTAAAAAATAGCTTTAGCCAGGCATGGTGGCATGTGCCTATGGTCCCAGCTACTCAGGAAGCTGAGGTGGGAGGATCACTTGCCCAGGAGTTTGAGGCTGCAATGGGCAGTGATCATGCCACTGTTATCACAGCCTGGGCAATGGAGGAATGAGACCCAGTATCAAAAAAAAAAAAGCTAGCATTTATGAGTGCCTACTATGTGCCATGCACCACTTTAAGTACTTTACATGTATGAATTCATTTAATGTCTTAACAGTCCTATGAGGTACATACTAAAAAAAAAATCATTCGCATTTTTTCAGATGAAGAAACTCAGGCCTAGAAAACTAGTAAAACTTACCAAAGGGCAGGTAACTAAAAGGTAGCAGAGGCCGGACGCAGTGGATCATGCCTGTAATCCCAGCACTTTGGGAGGCCCAGGCAGGCAGATCACCTGAGGTCAGGAGTTCAAGACCAACCTGGCCAACATGGTGAAACTCCGTCTCTACTAAAAAAAAAAAAAATACAAAAATTATCAGGGCATAATGGTGGGCACCTGTAATCCCAGCTACTAGGGAGGCGGAGGCAGGAGAATCGCTTGAACCCAGGAGGCAGAGGTTGCAGTGGGCCGAGATGGTGCCACTGCACTCCAGCCTGGGCAACAGAATGAGACCCTGTCTCAAAAAAGAAAAAAAAGTAGCAGAGTGAAGGTTAGAAGCCAGGCAATTAGGTGTGGGAGTCCACATCATTAACCACTGCACTCCACTGCCCCTCACCACTCAGTGAAGCAGATATTATCCCCCTAGCAAAGAAGAAGACACTAAGTTCAGGGTGTAGAAGTTATTTGCTCAAATTCAGACAGCTAGTAATGGATGGGCCTTGATTCAAATCCAGATCTACAGGATTTAAATGCCCATACTATTTCTATCCCCTTCTCTGCCTTCTGGAGTCAGTGATAAAGCAGAACTGACACCTAGCTTCTCCACAGTAAACTGAGAATTGAAAGGAAGCCATTTAAGTCACATTCTCCCAACACCACCTCTTTCTTTCTCTATGCTTCAAGATCTTTGTCTAATGACATTTGCTTTTTTCAGCGTTTACACAGTTTTTTTTTTACAGCAGAAAGTAGCAAAAAAAAAAAAATGTAATAACAGGAAACAGGACTATAACACAAAATAAAACCAGGGAAAACAAAGCATTTTTAGACTGTTTACTGTAGAAAACCTACAGTAAACAGACCAACTGAGCCCTCTTATTGTGGATTATGCACAAAAAGGTAAAAAAGAAATAGTTTTTCATACCATATTCTTTACCAACCACAGTTTTCACCAAGCACTTAGAATGAGTTTGAGAGAGCTTCTGGGCTCAAAGCCTTTAAAGTTCTCAAGACAGGTTTTCTGTGAAATAGTCCTATTCCTGGGTTGCACAGGGCTGTCCTGTGTTCTGTAGGATACTTAGTAGCATCTCTGGCCTCTACACATTGGACAACTTTCCCCCATGCTCCCCACAGCTGTGACAACTCATATGTCTTCAAGCATTATCAAAAATCCCCTTGTGAGGGCAAATGAACCCATGCTGAGAACCACTGGGACAGGTCTCTCAGTTCTAATAATTCAAGTTATTCTATCTTAGTCTCATCTGTACTTGCTGCTTCATGAACATTCCTATTTGTTTTGCATATTCAGACAGGGACCACTTTTGTATTTTTATCTCTCCCACAGCCGCAAGTAATTCAGTGTGTTTAGATTGGCTCAACATAATTTCAAGTACCCAGATGCTCCTTAAAAAAACAGTGAGGACTTTGAACAAAGGGTACACAGGAGTTCCTTGTACTAGCCTTGCAACTTTCTTGTAAGTTTGAAATTATATCAATATAAAAAGTTATAAAAATATATTAGAAATATAGGAGAAAGTATTAGCAAATTATCTACCTGATAAGAGATTAATATCTGGACTACATAAAGAACTACCACTCAACAATGACAAAAAAAAACTAATTTTAAAATAGGCAAAAAACTTAAATAATATTTCTCCAAAGATGACATACAGAAAGCCAACAAGCATATAAAATGATGGCCAATAAGCAGATAAAAAATGCTCAGTTACACAAATCATTAGAGAAAATGCAAATCAAAACCACAATGAGATATCACAGCCATTAAAAATGGCTACTCCCCAAATATTATAAAATATCAAGTATTGCCAAGGATGTTGAGAAACTGAACCTTTGTGCACTGTTGGCAGGAGTGTAAAATGGTACAACTACTATGGAAAACAGTATGGCAGTTTCTCAAAAATTAAAAATAGAACTACCACATGATCCAGCAATCCTACTTCTAGGTATAAATATATCCAAAAGAATTGAAAGTAGTATCTCAAAGACATATTTGCACACCTATGTTCCTAGTACTAGTCACAATAGCCAAGAGGTATAAGCAACTCAAATATCTATCAATGAATGAATGAATGGATAAACAAAATGTGGTATATACACACAATGGAATATTATTTGACCTTAAAAACGAAAGAAATCCTGTCACATGTTACAAGATAGATGAATCTTTAGGACATTATACCAAGTGAAATAATCCAGTCACAAAAAAGACACATACTGAATGATTCCACTTATATGCAGTAGTAGTCAAATTCACAGAAATCAGAAAGTAGAATAGTGATTATCAGGGGGCTACAGGGAGGAAAAAATAGGGAGTTGTTTAATAGGTATAGAGTTGCAGTTCTCCCAGATAAAAAACTTCTAGATAGCTATTGCATAACAATGTGAACACATATAACACTACTGAACTGTACACTTAAAAATGGTTATAATGATAAATTTTGTTACATGATTTTTACAATTTAAAAAGAGCACATATCAAAAATTATGTACTTAATTTTTTTATATAGATAAGGTCTTGCTCTGTCACCCAGGCTGGAGTGCAGTGGTATTATCATGGCTCACTGCAACGTCAAACTCCTGGGCTCAAGCAACCTCCGCATCATCCTCACAAGTAGCTGGGACTACAGGTGTGCACCACCATGCCTGACTAATATTTTTAATTTTTGTAGAGATGAGGTCTCACTCTGTTGCCCAGGCTGGTCTTGAACTCCTGGCTTCAAGCAATCCTCCCACTTTGGCCTCCCAAAGTGCTAAGGTTACAGGCATGAGCCACCATGCCCAGCAGAAATTATTTAGCTTAAACTTTCATACTAGAAGAAATGGAAAGGTTAACAAAGACCCTCCATAGTATTAATCTTCTCTGATTCCATGATGAGATTAATCTGACAAACCTTTATAGGGCACCCATTCTATAAAAGCCACCAAGGGCCGGGCATGGTGGCTCACGCCTGTAATCCCAGCACTTTGGGAGGCCAAGACAGGTGGATCACAAAGTCAGGAATTCGAGACCAGCCTGACCAACATGGTGAAACCCTGTCTCTACTAAAAATACAAAAATTAGTCAGGTGTGGTAGCATGTGTCTGTAGTCCCAGTTACAGGAGGCTGAGGCAGGAGAATCGTTAGAACCCAGAGGTAGAGGCTGCAGTGAGCTGAGATCTTGCCACTGCACTATAACCTGGGCGACTGAGTGAGACTCTGTCTCCAAAAAAAAAAAAAAAAGGCACCAAGGTAGTACCAAGGTAGTGCAGTATATCTGAAAGTAGACATACAGTAAGTAAACCATAATATCATAGGCATGATATAAGTCTAAATATTCATAGCCATAACTCCTACTCAATTTAAGGAAGGCAAAAATGTTTTTCAGTTTAGATTCAACACTGCCAAGGGAAGTTTAATCTAATCATTAAGGGAACATCATATTTTCATCCTATGAGACCATCTTTCTCTAGTATGGTGATCAGTAATAATTGCATGAGTAAACACACATACACACACACACAAACACACACACAAAGCAACTTCTGTTTCCCATGGATGAAGGAGTTAAGAAGTAGCTGTTGCTGTTACTTGTTAAGAACTCAGTTACTCTAATTTTCAATATGATTCATAAAGCTCCCCAAAGTAGAAAATGTCCATTTTGTACATGAGAATTCTACCAATTCCTCATAATCAACATTTTCTAAAATGTAATTCCTTCAACTTAATAGTTAATGTAGAAGAAACAAATATATACACATATATAAAGTGAGAGAGATATTAGATAAAGGTGATGATTTTTATTCCTTTCTAAGGTATTCCCACACTATCAGTAAGCTCTTTTCTGTTCTGCCATGCAACTTACCTAATGACGCTCTTCCTTGAGTACAAACCAAGAATGTTTGAGTTCTAAATCTCAAGTCTATAAATCACTGTTTCTGCCCCCCAGGCAGCTGATATGGTTCATTTACATTTCCCCACTTTTTGATATTCACTAAATACTATGTTTAATTTTATTTTGCATGATCGTTTGGGGAAGGGAAACTATAGATTGAACTTTTGAGGACGTGTTCTTGCACTTACGTTTGAAAACTCAGGCACGTCTAATGTACTGTAATCCATAACACTCCTAACCAAATAATTGAACCACCTTCTCAATGGCAGGCTGAGTTAAATCTGAGAGTATTGCCTAGCTTCCTCTGAGGAGCCAGCCCCCAATTCTCAAACTTCTTGCCTCACACCAGAAATAGAGTTACCTGTCAAACTGATGAAAACCACTTGCCTAGGATAACTTTCAGAATCCTATATACATATTTAATCTACATTTTCCTGGTCATTATTTAAAGGACTTTTGGATAGACCTTACACTGCAGGAGCTGTGAGGGGTAATAAGAAAAGCAAAGAGAATAAACATGAGTGAATGGTATAAATAAATTATCTCCTCAATTTATTTCCATTCCCATAACCTTGAAATATTTCCCACAGATCATCTACAATGCTAGAAACTGAGTGCTAATGGTGTAACCCCTATATGAATGCCTTAACAAACCAGGCCTATTGGCACACAGCAAAGGAGAGCATGGGACTGGAACAGGATAGCTTTTGGAATCAGACAGACATGGGAAATATTTTAATCTCAGCTCTTCCATTTAGCCGTTGTATAACCCTGGGCACATAGTAGTCTGAGCTTCAGTTTCCCCAACTGTAAAATGGGGATAACAACCGTTGCCTCAAACACCATTAGGATTTTGTGAGAGAACACCACTAAAAGTACCTGGCACATTGCAGACACTTAACAGTCAAAATGAGCAAAGCCCTTTGATTTCCAACAGACATAAGTGATAGCAAATGCAATCAGACAGCTTGGTATCCCCTTTTCATTTGTTAGACATCATTATTTTTAGAATTATTGCAAGGTATCATTATCACTGGAACACAATAGAGATGTGAAACTCAAGAAAGGTGAACCCTGGTTGGAGAGGAAAATTAAGTTAAAAACAAACAATAACACAAAAATGTTTGATTGCCTATAACAGACCATAAATTCAAAGGAGAGAGCTGACATGACCAAGCAACATTTTATGGAAGAGCTGGAAATCGAGGGGAACCTTGAAATAAGGACAAGACATCCTCTTCCCCATGGCTATGTGTTAACAAAGCGGCAGCAAGCATGTGTATCCATCAGGTATTCAGTGAACAGTAGAGACTATTTTTGCTGTAGTGCGGACTTTTGCATAGGCAAACAACAGAAGGTAAGATTGAATAAGATAAAGGAGCCAGGGATACTATTATGAGAACCCAAAATTTCAGAGAAATAAATCATGGTTGCTGAAAATCAGAGGTTTTTTTAAAAAAAGAAACAATATATAATCCAGTTGGTTTATTAATAGAAGATTTATCCATCAGAGACATCACTGAGCGGATTGAAGAAGAGAGATGCCAGAGACAAAGTGACCATGAGGAGGCCACTGTCACAATCCTAGTGTAAAGTGTTGAAAGCCTGAATTAGCATGGTGGCAGTACCATCTTTATGGCATGTCTCCATAAAGATGGAGACAGGAGTGACAGGCATTACAGAAATTCTCACAGACTTGCATGAAGAAGGAAGAAGGAAAACATGACACAGCAGCTTCAGGAGTGGCGGACTGAGAGAATAAAGGCACGACCATGAGAAGAAAAGACAACTCTGGAGAGGAAATTAATCTAGGGACAAAAGAGGTAAATTTGGTTTCAGGCAGGTTGTTATCAATGTGACATCCAGAAAGAAAATAGTAAAGTCAGCATGTAAAGATGTGGGCTATAAACAGGAAGGGGAGCCCTGTGCTCAGAAAGGATGGCTGAATCCATAGAAGCTCCAAAGATTCTGATGCAAAAATGAGACCAGCACACTGAGCACAGCCCTTCTTGAAACCCAGACTCATGAAGGAAGTGAAGCCCACAGAGAAGTCACAGAAGGAGCAGAGAAACATAGGTGGTGTCATTAAAACCAAGGGGGTGAGTCTCTGGAAGAGAGGTGGTCAAGAAAGTAAGATCCAACAAAAAATCAAAGATGAGAGCTGAAAACAGGCTCACATATGACAAGTATGAGGCTCCTAGAGATCTTCAAAAACTCAAGTCTGAAAAAGTGTCAGATGGAAAAAGGAAATGAGGTAAGTAGGAAGAAAGCAGACACTGTAAATAGTCCATGCTACCCTCTGCACTTTTCTAAAAGAAGTCTCATTCAGATTTTTAACATGGAATATAAGGAAACAAGGCTTTAAAAAACAGAAGAATCTGATAATACACACTGACGGTACTGGCACAGGCCCTAATCTTTCTTTTCTACCCTCCTTGTTTCCATCTGATTCCCTGGTTACCCCGCACAACCTCTCTCCATACTTATTTCTAGGCTGTACTTCTCAGCCTCTTTCCTCGCAGTAAGAGAGAGTCAGGCCAATCACCCCTTTCCCTTTTGCCTTTTTTTCTCTCTTTTCACTCATTATAGGGGCAAGGACAAAAGTCAGATTTTACGAGATAATCATAATTTGATAACTGTTTCTCTCTGCGTCTTCAAAAGAGGGACATCTTCTAAAATATACATGAAAATATGCTCAATATCATTAGTTATGAGGAAAATGCAAACTAAAACTACATTGAGATACTGCTTCACACCTACTACAATGGCTAAAATTAAAAAGATTAGTGAGGATGTGGAACAACTGGAAAACCATTTTGGAAAACAGTTGAGCAGTTTCTTAAGAAGTTAACATACACCTACCACACAATCCAGCCATTCTTCTGCTAGATATTTACCCAAGAGAAATGAAAGCATATGTCCATACAAAGGCTTGTACATGAAGGTTCATAGCCAAAAACTCAAACAACTCAAATGTCCAGTAAGTGATGAACAAACAAATTTTGATATATATCCATACAATGGGATACTATTCAGCAATAAAAATGAATGAAATATTGATAAGTGGAACAACATGGATGAATCTCAAAATAATTGTGCTGAGAAAAAAAAGGCCAGAAAAAAAGACTACATACTGCATATTTCTATTTATATAAAGTTTTACAAAATGCAAACTAGTCTATAGTGACAGAAAGTAGATTAATGGTTGCCTAGAGATGAAGGAGAAGGGTAGGAGAATGGAAAAAGAAAGGAATTACCAAGAAGCATCAAGAAACTTTTGAGGGTGATGGAGATGTTCACTACCTTAATTGTAACAATGGTTTCGTGGGTATATAACAAAACTGATCAAATTGCATATATTAAGCATGTACAGTTTATTGTATGCATCATACTTCAGTAAAGATATTTTTAAAAGAATAGCCAGAGAAATTGGCAAAATTTGAATATGAAGTATGTATTAGATGACCTTCTCCCTTTATCATAAAGCCACCATGGAGGCTAAGGAATGAGGACCTGTTTTTGCTAAAGGAGGAACACCAGCCAAGCACTCCTGTTGCCATCCTATTTTTGAGAGGAAAGTAAAAACTAGCTGTCTTTTTCACTGAAGAATTCCCTTTTAAGCAATATTTCCCAAGTATGCTCCTGCCTGTACTGTTTCATGTCTAAATCTGTTTGCATTACATAATCCTTTGGGGATAAACAATTTCTGTCTCTGTGTAGTTTCATGAATCAGATCAGGGCCTGTGGCTCTAATATGAAGGTATAGAGAGCTTCTCTGACCACTGTCGGGATCCCAGTTCTTTACCCCATGACTTCTTCAGCAGCAGACACTCAGGTCCCCCTACATGTTAAAAATATGAGCTTCCTTTCCAAAAATTATTTGCTGCTTTGTGAGTCTCACTCCTAGACAAATCCAGGCCCAGGCATTTATAAAAACAGGTCAGGCCTGAAGGTACCATATCAGATGCTCAGAAGAGTTCCAGAAAAGTAGGGAAAAGGTCAGAATCCCCAGTTGGTCTCTCTTCTGAAATCATTAGAGAATAAAATCCTCCAAGGTTTCAAGCCATAGATAAGAAAAAAAAAACAAACAGCAAATATAAACTTTTTCCATGTATTTAGAATATAAATTAACAGGCTGAGTGCCCATCTCTATATTCCCATCTGGTGTCAAAGCTATGGCTGGCACTTAGATTAAACATAAAGCTTTCAATATGGCATTACAATTATCTTCCTAAAACTGACTACAAAAATATAATCGGAATGAATTAATCTTACTCCCAACTCCAAAGTCACATGTTTATTCTGCTTCGTATCTTTAAAACTTTAAGAGACTAAATTTCCTCCAACTGATCACACACAGAAATATTTAATATGCTCTTTTTAAAAAAAAAAAAAAAAAAAAAAAAAAAGAGCCAGCCTTGGTGGCTCGTGACTATAATCCCCACACTTTGAGAGGCCAAGGAGGGCAGATTGCTTGAGCTCAGAAGTTCAAGACCAGCCTAGGCAACATGGTGAAACCCCATTTCTACAAAAAAATAAAATAAAAAATTAGCCTGGTGTGGTTGTGTGTCAGGAGGCTGTGGTGGGAGGATCACCTGAGCCCAGGAGGCAGAGATTGCAGTGAGCCGAGATCTCACCACTGCACTCCAGCCTGGGTGGCAGAGTGAGACCTGTCTCAAAAAAAAAGAAAAGAAAAGTTCCGGAAAGTTGCCTGAAAATCTCAAAATATTATTTAATTACTTATTCTATTACTTTATAGAAGGTGTAGTGAAATGGTACCATTTACAAATTTATACAAATTCAAAATACTCTTCTATATCATTTAAAACACTATAAAAATATATTTTACATACATATACTTTATTCTTTGGAATAAATTTTAACTTTGGATATTACACATTTATAATTACATATTACTCTACACAGTAAGATGTGCAAAATCATGTACACTGCTCTTTATGGGCAATTTGAGGGATCTTTCAAGAGAGATTTTGACTAGACATGACTTTGTCTCTTATACCAACTCAGGACCTAACCTCACTCAGTATGAGACTCCTCCGCAAGCAGCCACTATTTCTTTACAGGACAGATAGTAGAAACTAGGGCAAGGATCTTATGCACAGGAAATCCTAGAAAAAATAAGGATGACCTTCACCAAAACCAGCAGAAGTGCCAGGGCAAAATGGCTCCAGAGCTCCCACTTTTCTGAAACCAGAGGGCAGGATTCCTGAGCATATCTGGTTAGGTCTTTCAACGTGCAGAATCGTTATCCTGTGCAGTCAGATATTCTGCCTATTGTTTAGACTAATGCTTTCTAGGTCATTTCCTTCAGATGGATCTAGTGATGATACTTTTCTCCAAAGAAAAAACTACAGTATTTGTTCTTCCTGTTATGTAATCGATGCATGCTGGTTTTTACCATTACATCTATATAAGTTCTAGTCTATTCTGTGATTATCAATTCTCTATATTACTATACTTTAAATATCCTTTCTTCTTTGGCTCTTACTTTCTACAGGTTTTCATCTTTCACTATATCAGTAAAGAAAATTTACTCCATTATCCATAAACTGAAGGCATTTTTACATTCCCTTTATCTCAAACTTTTTAAATAATCTCAAACACAGGAACATGATAACATCCACTATCATCAGTATTAAAAAATATTGTTCTGTTAGTTCTAGTTAATGAAATGAGGCAGAAAACAAAAACAAAAAATACAACTATCTAGAAAGTAGGAGACAAAATTACATTATCTGTAGTCAATATAATGGCATATCTTTTTAAAAAAGAAAAGAAAAGAAAGTAGAGAGAGAATGAATCACCAGAAATGCTACTAAAGCTAAATAGGAAGTTGAGTCAGTAAGCATTTTTATAAATTGACAATAATCAGATGAGAAAACATAATGAAAAGATGGTCTCATTGTAATCAGTTTATAGTAGCAGCAGAAGGATAAGTACTTCATCCTCATACACAGAATTTACTCCAAGTACACTCATTTGACCTACCGAAAAGTCTTTTACACTCTCTTCTCACTGTAGCCTAGACCATTGCGAGGTTGTCCCCCTCCGAAATGGGTACAAAAATTCCTACCCTCCCAGTAATCCCCTCTTTGGCCTGGAGTAGATTCGAATATTTTAAAACAAAATAACACTTACAATATCTAATAATTAAAGAACAAAAATCCTACTGAATTTGACCAACAAATTCATCATCTAAAACAGGAGATAGTAAAGTAAAAATGGATAGCCAACAGAAGAACTACTATAATATTTCCACATTCATCAGCAGCATTAACTATAGTGAATACAGATATATATTAGAGAAAAAAAAAACCCACCTTGTTGTTCTCCAAACACTCAGACCCCTCCTGATCACTAGTTCACACAGCGGAGAAAAAAACCTGAGTTAGAAAACTAATGGCAAAAACTGCAATTACTTTTGCACCAACCTAACACCTACTAGTAGTTTCTTAAGACTTGATGGGGCCCTAAAATACCAAATTTATGTCTCAGCTCCCAAATAAAACCATCCCTAAGACAATCCAAAAATAAGAAGGTTTACTCTTTTCTGAAGTCCTCTAAAGTCTATTTTCCCCCATATCAGTGTTATACACTTTACAGCAACATTCTCCAATGAGGTTACTAACGTGCAGAACAAGCAACATTCTCTAAACCCCCTTCCCAACTATGTGGCTCACTCAACAACCATTTCCACTTCTCCTTCTTCCTAGCTAATACAATTCTAGTTTTGTTCACCTTTCTAAGTTGTCATGTCCTCCAGAGGCTGGGCTCCTCCTCAGACCCAGAATGAATTATGATGAGTCAAGGCTAATCATGCTGATCACATTCCCATGACCAAGTTATTGGTTTAGGCATGAGCATGTGATACAGCTATGGACTATAAGATGTGAAGAGTACTTTCTAGAGAGGTTTCCTGAAGCTTAAAAAAGAACGGGACAGATATAATTTCCTGCTCATGTCTCTGGATGTAGTTATACAAAGATGGCTGCAGCAGTTCAGAGTATCACATCTTGGAACCATGAGGGAAAACTGAAGAGAATTTCTGAGACACTGAACCAGAGCCTTGAAGTTATTGAGCTGTTAGATCAAAAGCCTCTTTTGGGCCTTTTGTTATGTGAGATAATAACTGTCTCCAGTGTTTAATCCGCTTCCACTTGAGTTTTCTGTCACTTGCAACCAAAAACTTCCCAATAATGTACCATCTAGGTGGCCAGCTAGAACCCACTCCACCTGTAGCATAAGTCTCTGACAACAGAGACTTATAACAGACAAAACCAACCGATCTGTAAGAGGACATTTCCTTATTGCCAGACTAGCTCTTTACAAACAGGAGCCACTACTGATTATCTAGAAACTATTCTGTCTTTAGTAGAAATTACATTGAATTTCCCTTCTTGAGATGAGTACTTCTCACATAAATTTAATGTTAATATTTAATTTTGGGGGAAGAGAAAAAATTATTAATATCATAGTTTTACCAGTTTTAAAATGGTAACAATCTAATCTTTATCTCTCTCTGATGAAGCCAGACTAGAAGAAATAGTCTTAAACCAGAGGGACCTAGTTCACATACAGAGATGAATTTCTTGAGAGAAAGGATTATAGTGAAAAAAATTCTCCAGGGAAAATGTGGAATCTCCTTGATGAAAGTCCTTAAAAATAGATATTTCATGTAGCTGTGAAGCCTTAGGCACTATATTTGGATTACATGACAATTCAAAAATCCCTGCCAGACCTATCTAGAGAGAAAACTCAGAAAGACAAATTTAGAAAAACATCTAAGTGCTCAAATAAACCAGAAGTAAAAACTTCTTAATCTCAAACTCTGGAACATATCTATCATATAACTATGTAAACCAGCTGTTATAGAAAATTCACTTCATTATCTATGGAGCAAAAAGATAAACACTACGATCAAAGATCCCACCATGTCTCAATTTCTGTAAAATCCTGACGGTGTCATTAAGAGACTTATTTGGCCAGAAAATATCCAGTGACTAATTTAACTGAAAATTAATTCATTTAATTAAAACGATAAATGAAAGCACTTACTAGATTAAAAAGAAATGGTATACACTTATCAGAATAAAACAGTTTCTGCCCTATTGCAATCTCATAACTAAGAGAATAAATTTTATACCATATTTTAGATTAAAAACTTTGCTGTCCAAGAGTAGTGCTGAATATAGACCCTCTTCTTAAAAATACAATTTGAAATATTTAAGATTTACTGCTACAGGGCATTAAATCACCACTCACATTTATAATGACCAAAATTTGCAACAATAATGTTGAAAAGCAAATGCAAATAAGTGTTTACTACTCCAGAGAAGTCACAAGGTTTATTGACATGCAATAGACAACTGGTCTTTGATTTAGAAACTAAGACACACAGGCTGGGTGCAGTGGCTCACACCTGTAATTGCAGCGCTTTGGGAGGCCGAGGCGGGTGGATCATCTGAGCTCAGGAGTTCAAGATCAGCCTGGGTAACATGGCAAAACCCCATCTCTACCAAAAATACAAAAAATTAGCCAGGCATGGTGGCACACGCCTGTAGTCCCAGCTACTTGGGAGGCTGAGGTGGGAGGATCACTTGAGCCTGGGAGGTGGAGTTTGCAGTGAACCGAGATGGTGCCACTGCACTCCAGCCTGGATGGCAGAGTAATATCCTATATCAAAAAAAAAAAAAAGAAACTAAGACACAAAGATCATCATCTGTCAGCTGCTCATACAAGAGCAGGACATGGAGGGCACTAATGGTGGATGGTATGGTAAAAAGTCTGTGAGTCTCAGAAATACAGCCTACTGCTACGGCGCCTTTAGCTTCTGTACAAACTAGAAAAGTTTCCAAGTTATTGTAGACCCATAGATGCCTAGCTTGGGGAGCAGACAGCTCTGCACACATTAGAAAATAATGTCTCTCCACCTAGTAACACTGTACGGTGTACATCTTGCACTATGGTATGCAATGGCCCCAAACTTGCCTTCAGGAGCCTCACGCCCAGTGGCAGACAGGAACTCTCTTGTCTTCTAGGAATGGAAGAAAGTAGGTTAAGTCTCAATCTTAACAGACTCGAGTATCAAGGCCCTCCTTAATTCCAGAAAAGTTGGAAGCAGCTAAGGTTCCATTCAATTGGGCCCTATTATCAAGAAACAGAGAAAGAGAAGGGAAAAAAAAAAAAACCTCCAGAGAGATCAAGTGATCAAGACTTGTAGCTTCTTTTTTTTTTCAGAAGTACAATATTATATTGTATTAGTCCATTTTAACGCTGCTATGAAGAAATACCTGAGATTGGGTAATTTACAAAGAAAAGAGACTTAATTGACTCACAGTTCCACATGGCTGGGGAGGCCTCAGGAAACTTACAATCATAGTGGAAATCATCTCTTCACAGAGTGGCAGGAGAGAGAATGAGAAGTGGAAAGAGGGGAAAAGCCCCTTATAAAACCATCAGATCTCATGAGAACTCACTCAGTATCATGAGAACAGCAAGAAGGTCTAATGATCTAATGATCTAATCCCCAGATCTAATGATCTAGTCCCCCCATGATCTAATCACCTTCCACGAGGTCCTTCCCTCAACACATGGAAATTACAATACAAGATGAGATTTCGGTGGGGACCCAGACCCAGACCATATCATATATCTTCACTTTTTAAGCAGCTTTTCATAGCATAGACTTCAACTTTATTGAAAATATATTAGTTTATCAATATGCATGATTTTTGCCTATATAAATATTAATAAAAATGCTCTGTACTTTTCAGAGGAGGGCCTAAAACTATAAAACAAAGCTATAAAAGGGATTATCATTACAATAACTATTTTGAAAAGGATGGCTTCTTTTGTTTGTTTAAACTTTGACTTTGAGGATTCCTATTAAAAACAGATTATAACTAGCCATAACCAAAGCTTGGCTTGACTTAAGTTTGGCTAAGAAAATAATGTATTAAGTAGCCTTCTAGAATGAAAACGCAGGATTAGCATCCACTCAAACTAAACATACCAACTCAGTATTATAAACAAATGAGAAAATGATATTTGCTGCTTAAAATTAACAATATATGCAATAGGAAACTGTTTTGATCCTGAAAAAGAAAAAAAAAGTCGAAGCTTGAATATAAAGAAAAGTTATGCAAACACATCCACACTCCTACATATTTATCCTAAAGTCAAGCCTTTGGTACTCTGAAGTAAAATAAAATATAAGTCATTTTTGTTTATTGTGACTGGTTATGCTAATACCACTATAATTTCTATGAAAGCCTTTCATGAGCCAACAGGCAAAAATATTGCAGATTTTCTGTAGTGGGATAGAGATTCTGCCAGCAAAGAAGCAGGGTAGATTAGAACAGATGTTTGAATGTGAAGCATCACCTGCTCTGACTTCTAACCCCAATCTTTTTTAACTACAGGACTTTTCTAGGTAATTACAAGATCAACCTACCAAGGTTAGCAGCATAGGGTTTTCAAAAACACCACCACCTGTCACAGAGACACAACTGTCACAGTCATATGAGAAAACCAAAGTCCCACTAAGCAAATCGAGAAGACTAGGCAGTGTCCACATAACAATGTTATCAGCACTTCATTGACCAAATTAGGAGATCTGTAGGGCTTCAACCAAAAACTGATGGAACAGGCTTTGGAGACAGGGAGCTCTAAGTCTGAATGGCAGTTTCATACCCTAGTTTCACCACCCACAAGCTGTGAGAGACCATGGGCAAATTACTTAACCTCTCAGTGCCTTAATTTCTACACCTACAAAATGGGGGATAATATAGTACCTACCTCATAAACTCTTATCAGAATTAAAATTAGATAACATATGTAAAGTACTTTATAAATACTGCCTGGCATATTATACATACTCAATAAATGTTAGCAATTGTTATTACCATCAATAATGGTGGCTTCTCCTTTATTCCTTTGATCCAGAAATCCCACTTCTGGAAACCCACCCTAGAGAAATAATCCAAAGTACAGTAGAAACACAAAAATATTTATTACAATGGTATTTACAATGGTAAGAAGTTAGAGGAGCCTAAGTGTATACAAATAAGGAAGCAGTTGAGTAATTTCTCAAATATCTACTCAATAAAATATTGCTCTATCACTAAAAAATACACTCAAAATATAAATATAAAGAATTAAAATAGGCCAGGCGTGGTGGCACATGCCTGTAATCCCAGCACTTTGGGAGGCCGAGGGGGGCAGATTGCCTGAGGTCAGGAGTTCATGACCAGCCTGGCCAACATGGTGAAACCCCATCTCTATTAAAAAATATGAAAATTAGCTGGGCATAGTGGCGGGTGCCTGTAATCCCAGCTACTCAGGAGGCTGAGACAGGAGAATTGCTTGAACCCAGGAGACAGAGTTTGCAGCGAGCCTAGATCGTGCCATTGCACTCCAGCCTGGGACAGAACAAGACACCGTCTTAAAAAAAAAAAGAGAGAGAGAGAGAGGGAGAATTAAAATAAATAACAAATCAAATATAAAGCATTATAGAGCAAAATGACAGTATGTTTATAGAATTATACAAAGAAAAACAAGATTTAAATCTACATATGTATATTTTTATAATTATGTAAAATTATATTTAAAATGCATATTGTTTTAAAAAAGGTGAAGCTGGGCACAGTGGCACATGCCTATAGTCCCAGCTATTCATGAGGCTGAGGCAGGAAGATCATCTGAGCCCAGGAGTTTGTGGCTGTAGTAAGCTATGATGGTGCTATTGCAATCCAGCCTCAGCAACAAAGCCAGATCCTGCCCACCCCACCCCCTAAAAAAGAAACAAACAAACAAACAAAATGACCAGCAAGCAATACACCAAAAATGTAACAGTAGATGTGACAGGGTAATGAGATTTGGAGGAATGTTTCTTCTTTTCTGTAATATCTATCATGGAGTCATATTATTTTTATAATATTAAAATTAGTTTACTTTAAAATATATTTGGCTTTGCTGTAGATTTATTTTGACATTCATTAAGTAGAATTACTAAAATGGTAACAAAAGTTATGCAAACCCTGACATCAGTCTTACCACCTCAAGAGTTATCCACTCCCATCACATCCTCTCCCTCTCTTTCAACAATGGCCCACGCTCCTGAGTTTCATCTTCACTGCTCTGTCTCAAGCTTCCCAATTGACCCTCTCCCCCCATACTTCTATCTTGTTAGTTCAAATCAATCCTCCACATAGTTTGGAGGAACAGGATTACTAAAGCATGGAATTTATGCCATTCCTATACAGTAGTTCTCCAATATATACAGAACATGGCCCAGGCTCCTCAGCACAGCTTCAATAATAGTGCTAATAGTTCCAGCAGCATCTCCCACTCTCCTCACCTGTGTGTATCCCAAACCCCAGGCCATGGCTCAACAGGGGGACCTAGCATGCTGGTATATTTTTGTCATTGTAAGTTATGTCACAAGCAATGTGTTATCCATAATGGTTCAAGTACCTTAGTTGTGAATTATTTATTTTTTTAAACTAGCTAGAAAAATATCAGTTTTATTCCTATAATCTCTTCCCATTTACCTGCATTAAAAATGAGGATGGAATCTATGCTGAAACACTGCCCATAACTCTGTGTTTCCCATGGAGGCATGATACAAATAAAATCTTCTCTGCCACATGAGTCACAGCGGAAAGGGATACTCCAAACCTGAGCTCCTCACAAAGTGGCATCACTGGAAGTGCTCTCCACCTGCAAAGGGAGCAAGCAGGCTGCCTTGCTTCAAATTATGGCTGGCAATTAAATTTTAAAAGCCACCTTTTCTCCTCATAAAAAAGCAAGGGGAGGAGGATAGAGGAACTCTAGAGACAACCAGAGACTAGGAGATAAATCTTTTTAGAATCATTCTGCTCCATCAAGATGGAGACAGCATCTCAGCAGGTTAAAGGCCAAGAATTTCATTTCATGGATTTTTCCACTCCCGGTGCTGATATGAAGTTTCTTTTTCAAATAAATATACTTAACATTAAAAAAACAGTTAATTTAAAAATAAGTTTAGTATATCAAAACACAGAGGGTACTTGAATATGGAAAAAAATAATGAATGAGCTTCTAGAATGATTACCGTTGGGGAAAGCCTACTCCTGACAAATAAGACTACCTGCCTTCTTCCAACGGTGCCTGCATTTTATTTCCTCTGTACCATTTCCATATTTTTTCTTCAATCTCTAATATCATCTTCCCCTCCTTTCTCCACCCAATCGCTGTCTACAGAAATGCTAGGATACAATTAAATGTCAGTTCCTCTTCAAAATTATCCAAAATTTCCCAAGCTCCTTCAGTCAAGCCATCACACACTTGTAGGTGGCAGGCATCTTGTAACTCTGCTATTTTTTTTAAAAAAAGCTCATCTCTCCAAGTAGACAGAATGCTCCCTGAGGACACAGAATGCACCAAATCATCTTTAGACATCACATAGAACATAACACTGCTTTTCACAGGTGCCAAACTATACAGAAAATGTTGGCTTAATTGAACTGAATTTCTTAACAACCTGTTCAGAAGACGCAGCAAGGTCAGCAGTCAGGTTCCTACATTCCCATACAAAAAGGTCTTTAAGCACAGGCATAGGAAGGAGGGTTTCATTGAAAAAAAAATTTTTTGCAGAAACTTTAATGTGCCATTTTAAACCAAAATAATCAGAATCTTCTCTTAAACCATAAGGCATTTGTCCATACTAAATCCCTAGGCCTCTTATACATCATAATGTGAAAGCCGAACATTTACTAACAGTAGCTATAATGTCTGAAAAGCAGATCATTCACTGTGCCAGTCATAATTTATTTATTCAGAAGTGTATCTTATTTCAGAAGGAGTCAATGAAACTTACATAAATACATATAATACAAGCTAAAATGACATATCTAAGAGAAGAGAAAAATGGTGATATGGTTTGGCTGTGTCCCCACCCAAATCTCATCTTGAATTCACAAATATTGTGGGAGGGACCCAGTGAGAGGTAATTTGAAACATTGGGGCAGGTCATTCTCATACTGTTCTCATGATAGTGAATAAGTCTCACAAGATCTGATAATTATATAAGGGGAAGTTTCCCTCCACAAGCTCTCTTCTTCTCCGGTCTGCCACCATGTGAGATGCACCTTTCACCTTCAGCCATGACTGTGAGGCTTCCCCAGCCACGTGGAACTATAAGTCCATTAAACCTCTTTCTTTTGTAAATTTCCCAGCCTTGGGTATGTCTTTATCAGCAGCATGAAAACGGGCTAATACAAATGGGATAAAGGAAAATTGAGTGTAGGAAAGATAAACTGTCCTAGGAGTGAGGTTCATGTACCAGATGAATGTATTCCATAAAAGTCTGCACATTTGCTAGAGGTAGGTCAGGCGTTTGGCTCTTAATACTTGTAGCAGCCAACAAACCCAGGATGGCCCAATCAGTTACATAATTCAGCATCCTTAAGATAAATAGGTAATAGAGTACTATTTCTCCCTTGGTCCTCATTAAAATGACACTATATAATATAATAAATGATTTCCTCAACAACATTCTTGCAGTTATTTCTCAGAGCTAAGGAGACTATTCCTCCAAACAACCCTCACAGGCAAATGACAGCAAACAATTCAATAAAAGCAAATGATGGAGAGGAAAGCAGGAGGGCCAAGCAAGGGGTTCAGATACACAGTTCCTTGCAGAGCTAGATGCATCAAAAACAGATTTTATTCTATCTAGACTAATCTGAAATTCAGAGGCTTCATGCATCCACTTGTCTCTGAAACTACAAAGAAAATTTGATATGCATGTCCTTTTTTCTGGGGAATATGTCTGTAGTTTCATAACATTCTCAAAGAGCAGCATGACTCAAGAAAAGTTAAGAACCACTGATCTAAAGAATAAGACTATATATATATTCTTCAGGCAACCCTCCATAAGGAGTTTATTTTCTGAGCTTCTGAGAAGTGCTGAGCCTCAAGACTGCAGTCCCTGGCAAGCGCTTGAAGTATGGCTTCTCCCTCATGCAAAATGTGGAACTCTGGGCTTTAACCACTGGCCAAGCTGTGTGTCAATTATCAAGATACATAAGACCTTTAATAGAGTAGTGCTCATGAACATATGGAGCACATAACAATCTATTCTTCTAGCTAGGCTTCAGCCATGAACATTGATAGAGGTGCCAAAGGATTTGGTGATATTTCTTCTAGATGGTATTAAAAAAAAAAAACAAAAAAAAAACCACCTTTTGCCTGTAGATAAAAATTACAAGTAAGCACAAAAACAATGATTTTCCTAGACAAAAATCATTTTTATCTTAAAATAATCTTTCTACATCAATTTATATAACGAGCTCCTTTTTACCTTTTTGTTGTTTTAATCTTGTTATATAAGAAGACAATCACTGCCATACCTTTAGACACATACACACACTGTGAACCATCCACACACAGTATCATGGTTAGAATCAAGGGAGGAAGCTGGCCTGTAGGACCACTGAGATAAGGCTCTTTAAAATCTCATCCATCTAGAAGAAGCCACAGCCCTAGAGAGTCTGGTCCTCAGCATAAAAAGTCCAGAGACATATCTTTGCCGAAGAATTCACAGTTAAATATGCTCAAGAGAACTAACTCATGGTAACCCAAATCATAAGAGGCTGAAGTACAAATCAGAATACCAATTTCTTAATTAATCATAGAGAATATTCCTTTTGACTAGTAAGAAAATTTACACCTAAAGCCATGACACACTTTTCTCAAATATCTGGATAACTGAAATCCTGAATTAGTAATCAGGAGTCCACTGAAAGTTAGAACCTTGAGATATAGAGAGTTTGGGGGATAGCTAATAAATTATCCCTGCACTACATACATCTTCATAGAGATAAAAGTTGTGGCTCACACAGGAAGAGTCTCTCTCCCTTGAATAGTGCTGCCCCAGCACTGCAGACTTCTTGGTCTTCTTGGCCTTTCCTCTTCCATATCCTTCTCTCCTTTAGGTACTTCTCTAGACAGGGTATAATACAACTGATGAAGGTGCACCTTACAGGCATTATTATCCCTATTTTTTAGATAATAAACTCCCAGATAAAGCTGTTTCAGCAACTTGTCCAATGTCGCAGCTAGAATAAAGCAGAGCACAGATTCAAAGCCAGATCTCAAGTCAAAACCTATGCTGCTAATCTTGAAGTAAACAATACCTTCAAGGCGTTTTTTCCTGGGCCTTCCTACCTACCAGTCTGATTTAAATGTCCCTCCTCTGTGTCACCGTAACACTCTAAGCGCACCATGACTATAATTTTTGGTGTAGAGGTCTATCTCTCTCACTAGACTGAAACTTTTTGAGGATAGGGGTTATATTTCATTCACCCTTGTATCCCCAGGGCACCATCTATCTAGGTAAATATTCAAGCCAATTTGTCCAGTGGTTTCATATAGAGATCAACAAACTGAAGGCCTTGAACTAGCCACATAGCCTTAGGAAGGTCACAACTTCTCCAGCTATCAGCATCTCAGCTTAAAAGAAAAAAAAAGGGTGAGGGATGAAATTGATATACACAGATGAAATGGATGTACAAGGATATACAAGGTAATGTCTCCTCTGCATCTAAAGAGTACTACAATTACAGACGGGCCCTAGTTTTTGATGGTCTATCTTACTAGTGTGAGTTATTAGAAATAAAATTAAACTCCTCATTTATCGTCTGCACCATTCTAGAGCTAGAATATACATAAATAATAGAAAGTTCAGAAAAAGCTTCCTCTTCTGTGACAGGAGCTAACATCATCTATACTAAAATCAAACAGTGGCACCCTCCTCTGGTGAATGTTAAAGGAGCTAAACAACACACAAGAATTAGATGGTAGGATTTTGAATGATATATAAAGAAAAAGCAAGAGAAATTATCTAATATTATTTGTCACTGTTATACTCCCAATAGCAATTAAGTAACTCCTTTTGTAGCACTTTCCTTATTTTGCCCTAAAACAAAGCCAAAATGAACTAACTGGCTACATACGATAAGGGATTATGAACAGAACAAATACTCTATTTTTCAGAGTACTGATAATATCAATTATTTTGCAAACAGCATGCTTTTTAATGTAAGGCACAAAGAAAAGTATTTCATGGTTTGGCTAAAGATTATCATCTTTTCATTTGCAGTTAAAAAATTTAATGACAAGCCATGTACGTGTAAAATACTTTTAGTAAAATAAAAGCATTTATCGTGTCCCTTTTCTGGATGGTACATTTACCACAAGATACTACTAGAAATTTTTCAACCTGAAAAGTGTTTTGGTCTGCAACTTTCAGGTTTTACAGTATCAACTTAAAAGAAAAAAAAATTAAATCACCCAATCACTTACACCTTTTTAGCCCAAGGCTGAAACTATGCCAATGCATCACACCCAGACAACCACAACCCAAAATTTCACCACATTACTATTACAACCAAATCTTTAATAAAATTAAAACTGTGCTTTCTAAGACCAGAAGCAGATTATCACCAGCCACCAATTTTAATATAAAAATATATAATAAATATAAGCTTGTTAAATGATTTACAAAGGAAGGAATCACAGCTTCCTTCACCCTCATTGAATTTAGGCACAAAAAAATGAAAATACAGATAGTCTGCTTCAAGCCAAGAAGACAAATCAGCCATTATACTGGCAACTTTGTCATTAAGATATGTTTTTGCCCATGTACACAGCCTTTTTTCCCTCAATTAATTTTATATCTTTCACTTACTCTGTGACCAAGGGGAGGGGACCCCGACACTACCCAAGAGGTTACAAATTTACAACCAGTGAGAAACCTGCATTCTGAAAAAACAATATAAAAAAAGCTAGAGTGGATGGAAAATGGCAAAAACTGATTTCAGTTCTACCAAATGAGTTTTTCTACTAAGTTTGTCATTCTTGGCAAAGTTGGTTCTACAAGGTAGGTAGGCACAGTAGCATGAAAAGATTAGCAGAGTGATGGGTAAGGAATGCGGATAAGATATCCAGTTGAAAGCTTTCTCAATGTTTACCCAAAACAAAGGCCAAAGAACAAGCAAATGCTTGAAAAAGAATGGCAGTCCCTGCAGTTCCCTACAGCCTACCCAGAGATCAGAGGGCAGAGAAGAAAGTTGGGGGAAAACTTGTATGGGAGTTCGGGGGAGGGGTGTAATCAAAAACAGGAAGGGGTTAAGAATAAGAAAAGTATGCTGCCAAAAGGGAAAACAAAGAGTATGCAGCAATGAACCCGTTACAAACCGCCAATTTGAGAGATGGGGTGATTGGCCCAGTGTTCTTTGGAGCATGGCGCTAGAGCCACATTTGCCTCTCACTTTGCCTGGGCCAATGCGCAAGGACCAGAGCCAAGCTTTGCCTAACCTCCAGGAAACCTGGGCCTCAGCGCACAACCCGGGTGCCACAGAAATGTGGGAGAGGGAACTGAACTGGCCTCTAGCTATCTCCTGCTTCCAGATGAACCACAAACAAAGGAATCTAGAAGCAGGACGACGTCTGCACCCCTAAGCCCGCCAGGGCGCAAGGGTGAGGTCAAAGCACCGCCTCCTTTGCGGGCATAGCCACCTCTGCAAAGGCCAGGGACATCTAGGTCCCGCTCTGAGATCCTAGTGAAAACAAGCGGCCAGCGAGGCGCTCCTGTCAATTGGCCCGATTGCACTTGTAAAGTTGATAGAGTTGGAAAGAAGCGCAGAGCTGCCCCTCGGATTCCTCCCTAGAGTGAAGGCGATGGGAAGGAGTCACAGCTTCCTTCACCCTCAATGAGCTCGCTCTGCAGATATAGCCTGTTTGCCTAATGAAGCATAAGATATTGTCTTCCTTCTCTGTGCCTAGTTCAGCTCAAACCCTAGAACAAGGGCACTGGGGTCTGGGACCAAAGTTCACTGGAGATACCATTAATTCTCCTTGCTAAACTAGCACAGTGTTTTCTGGGTTCCGGCCTTGGGAACCTCACATTAAGTAGCAACAAATATGCTGTGGATGACTCTCCTTTCCCTAAAGTGGACCCTCAGCACCAAGAAGTCTGGATCCAGCAGTGCTTTTGGCAACTTGAGCCGCATTTGTCCAGCCAGGCACCGTGGTGTCATCACCACGCCCCTCGCACCCAGATCCTCTCCCGCTGCGCACACGCTGTCCTGTTGTTTATACACACACACACACACACACACACACACACACACACACGAGACATACACGGACACAAATACAAAGCCCCGGGGTAGCTCCTACCTCTCCCCCGTGCCCGTCGAAGATCCCGAAGATGGACGGGTGCGTCTTGTTGGCCAGATCCGTGAGAACTTCGAAGCGGTCCTCCATGTGGTCTCTCCGGCCCTGGATGGAGTACACCGCCACGTTGTGGTTCTTGAACTCCCAGGTCTTGGAAAACTCGGCCTCGAGCACATCAAGCCCCCCGAGTCGATCGTTCTGCATGATCTCGGCTACCTTGCCCTTCACCATCTTCACGGCGTCCCGGCTGGACTTCACGATGGTCTTCACCTCGTCGGTGTGGAAGAAGTAACTCCATAGAGCCAAGCTGATGCACAGCAGGAAAAGCGTCTCGGGTCTCAGCAAGAAGTAGCGCATGATGCGACCCAGCAGAGACAGCAAAGTCATTGTATCCTCTATCATTTATTATCGCTAGAGCCTCAACCACCACCAGCGACGCGCGCCCCGAAGGCTCGCCGGGTCCGGGAGCACTGCGGGGACAGCCCGCCGGGAGGGAGGCGGAGCAGTGCCCGAGGGTGGGGGAGAGGATCGCGGAGCCCAGCCAGAGGCAGCCGAGCAAGCGGCTCCGAGCAGGCAGCGCGAGCAGAGGCAGCTTCCCTTTTGTCTCCCCGCCTCGGCGGCCCGGAGGCCCGTCCCTGCCGCCCGCGCCGCCTCCCTTCCCTGAGCCCCTTTGTGAGACCGCGGCGGCGGCGGTAGCAGCAGCCGCCGCAGCAGCAGCCGCTGGTGCCCCGGTTGGGCAAGAAGAATCAAGTTAAAGTTGCGCTGGGCGGGTCTGCCGCGGTGAGCGGGAGAGTTCAGGGGCGCCGGCGCCCGCGCGGTCCCTCCGGGGGTGCCCCCTCGAGACTCCGGAGAGCGATCAGCAGGTGAGGCGCAGGGCTCCAGAGCCCGGCGGACGAGGGACGCAGGTCCCCTCGGTCGCCGCCGAAGGGGAGCGCGGAGATGGCGGAAGGTTCCAATTCCTTCACACACCCCGGGGGCCCCAGAGAATAAAAGTTTTGCGGGAGCCTGGGCAGAGACAGGGGTACGCAGAGCCCGGCGACGCGGCACGGTCGGTACTGAGCCGCAGGCGGCCGGCTGGGCTCTGCCTGCCTCTCCCAGGCACCTCCCGGCTCGGATCGGCTCGGCTCAGCTCGGCTTCACTCGCGCGCTCCCTCCTCGCGTCCCGGCTCGCGCGCGCTCCGCCCCCCGCGCGCTCGCCCCGCCCCGTCCCGCCCCTTGAGTCGGGACTCGACACCCCGAGGTGTTCCCACCCAGCTGTCAGAGGCTGAGCAAGTTCCGCGGCCGCCGGTGCGGGCTCGCAGCCCCATGCGGTCCAGGACAGCCAAGGGGGAGAAAAGAGGGAGGTCCGCTGCCTAGCTCTTGCGAATCGTTGTTCCTTCCCCCTGTGCCGGCTCCTAAGACAAGCTAATACTGACCCCGGTAGTCTTAGCGTTGGTTTTCCAGGAACTATTGCTGCTCACTGGGAAGCCGAGAGCCATACGTGAGCGTTCCCCCCTTCGGCGGCTGCACTATAGTGCGGTCCCCGCTTCGCCAGCCATAAGGCAAGCGAGAAGGGACGCACTTCTCCCGGCTTGCAAAGCGGTAGGGAGACGATCGGGCCGCTGGCCGCTGTCTCGGCGTTCAGCAATAGAGGCCTTCCCGGATCTCCCGAGAGGCGGGGAGCGAGCCTGGGTCCAGCAGCCTTCTCCCTCCCGAGAACAGCAGAAAGGGGGGACTCGACAGAATGACCTCTGTTTCCCCAAGGAAGTGCACTCTGACGATAACCTCGGGAGGGACGAGAAGGGCCGCTCTTTCGGAGAGCGGCCGCCGCCCCTGGAGTAGGGGACTCAGTGGCCACGAAGGCCTTCCCTGCTCGCGACCTTTCCACGGGAAGGCACGAAGCTTCCGATGGGGGCCCCGGGGCGCTCCTGACTTTTCTACGGCGCGAGGGCTCTGACTCTGCGGTTCAGGTTTGAAAGTCCTTTGGAAGCTCGCAAGTGGTGGTCTCCCACCACCTCCTCGGTCATCGCAGGAAGAAGGCGCAGTGAGGGCGGGAGTCTGGATGAGCGGAGAGTAGCCACCGCGGAGAAGAGTGCGGGCTTGCAGGAGCCGACGAAGATAACTCGAAATGTGGGCAGGCAGGTGTTGGTGGGTCTTGAAAGTGGGAAAGCACGAGAAAAGAACAATGTTCGCGTCCGCTTAGAATACGGAAACAAGTGAGCTTTAAAGGAAAATACTCATTCTCATTACCCCTGTCCAGGAAGAAGAGTGCTGATCTGCTGCTTCCAGTCCGCTGGGCTGGAGAGCAGAAAGAGGCTACTTGATCCCAGCCAAGCCAGTGTCTGTCCCCCAGCAAGCACTTCTGCCTTGGTGTGATCCCCATTCCTTTTCTAAAAATACAAAATAATAAGAAGTCCTGGAAGGAAATACACTAAAATGTTCCCAGTGGTTAATCATGCGTACAGTAGTAGATTATATGCAGCTTTCATTTTCTGCTTTAGACTTTTGTCTATTTTCCACAACTTTTCTAAAGTTTCTACAAAGGCCATATATTTCCACCATAAGCAGAAAAAATGAAAACGTAAGCATTTAAATGGCACATACAATATAATCTCAATAGTATAAACATGCATACAAAAGACAGGAAGGAGATATGAAGAACTGCTAACAGTATGTTATTTTTCACAACTAGGATATAGTCTCCTGTCCTGCTTTACCTTTCAGGTATTTTCATCTGATAAATAGAGAAACAGTTTAAAATAAATTCAGTCATCCTGTTCAATAGCCAAGAGGTTCCAAAATGAGATAATGAATTTAAAAGCCTTCGGGAACTATAAAGAAAAGTAATGCATTAGTATTATTTTGAAGATAAGTTTACAATATTTCTTACTGTAAATTATCAAATCACTTTTGGGTGCATTGTCAGTCTTTCTGTACATGGATTCGTTTCACTGTGGCAAAGGCAACTTGCAGATAAGCTGATAAAGATTCCAGAACTACAAATCAAACTAGGCCCTGGAGTAGCAGTAAAATTCCAAACCCAAAGGCCCATCCAGTCTGTCCACTACATTCCTATATTGATGAGAGCAGAACAGACACTCATGAGAGACATGACTTCTGCTTCCCCCATAACTAAGAAGAGAGATTACCATACTGATGATCTCCCTGGAGGTTTCATAGCAAGGTTTGACTTGATGAATTAATTAATAAAGCTAAATATCCTGAAGATTTGGTGGAAATATGCTTTGACATTTACATCTAAGTGTTCATCCGTGAAAATCAATAAAATATTTTTTCATGCAGACCCTATAGGCATTTTCTTACTAAAAACTTCATGTGGTTTATGTGGCAATTTCCAAAAATGCCTAAATAAACTCTGTTATAGTTTACTGTGAATATTAATATATTACAAAAAGAAAAAAGACCTTCCTCTAGTGACAAACTAATATTTGCATATTTGTGAGGATTATGAAGGTTTTTTCATATATGGCAATGTTATTTTCATTCTCCTAACAATCCTCTGAGGAAGATAGAAGTTATTATCTGTTTATGAGGAAAGCGAAGCCCAAAGATGTTAAGCGAATATCACTGTTCAGCAAATAAGAGGTTATACATTCAAACTCAGTTCTTTTGATTACCAGTTCAGTACTCTTAACATCCATTACTGTGCAGTGATACTGAGATGATTAATTTTTACACTTCTCCACTAATATTTCACCAGATTTCTGTTACAGAAATCTCAAAAAGAATGCATGTATTCTTATTCCACAATTCTGTTTTTAGCCTTTGGGATAAGCACTTCACCATGAGTATTTACCTCACCCATTGAGAATACCTGTGGGGCAGAAAACAGGTGCAAGTGTACTTCTTTAATAAACAGGTAAGAGATCTGTTGCTAAAGTAAAATAGTGTCAAAATTTCACAGAGGAAAGAGGTACCAAAAAATATGCATTATACAAATACTTTGCCATTGCAAGTGACATGGTAATGAACAGAGAATTAATGGCAATCCTAGGTTTTCATGGGATATAACAATAGTGATCAAACTGTTTACAGGCAATTACTGTTTTCTGCTTTGCAATTAACCCATGTCAGCCTTGCAAGTATATAAAAAATATATAGCTTTTAAAAATAATTTATTCTCAAAAATATTTCAGAGTTGTAGCTCTTAGGTTTAAAAAGTCTTTAAAATGGAGTTTGATAACCAATAAATCTGTTTTCTAGTATGATGTTGTTTTAGGATGTCCTTATCTACTTTATTTTTTATCACCTCATAGAACATGATAAAAAGTGGCTCATGCCTGTAATCCCAACATTTTGGGAGGCCAAGACAGACAGATCATTTGAGCCCAGGAGTTTGAGACCAGCCTGAACAACAGGTGAAACCCTGTCTCTACTAAAAATACAAGAAATTAGCCAGGAATGGTGGCATGTGCTTGTAGTCCCAGCTACCCAGGAAGCTGAGCTGGGAAGATCATCTAAACCCGGGAGGCGGACAGTGCAGTGAGCTGTGATTGCACCACTGCACTCCAGCCTGGGTGACAGAATGAGACCCCGTCTCATAAAAACAAAATGTAAAGTGACTTATCTGCTGAGACTCTGAATGATAAATATGATTTTTAAAATCCTTTCAAGTAAATTTTATATGAAACTTTTATACACATAGAAATTCTCTGCACAGTTTTAAATTTCTCAGTTGTCACTTTGATTTATATTCTTAAATTGTTCCTGCCATCTGTATGCAAATATGTAGTAGGTATTAAGTAGGACTCTCTTACTGACATTCTATTAATATATACCTATGTATGTATAACCTTTTAAAGGACACATATAAAAGAGCATGCAAGTATTGTTATGAAATACAACAACCATGCATGAACACAGAACACCCAACCAAAAAACTAGAGTGTTACCAATATCTTCATACCAACCTAGTTCTTCCCCTATCCCACCTCCATGCCTGTCCTCTCCACAGGTAGCCTACTATCCTGAATTTTATGTTTTACTATCCCCTTGCCTTTTTTTTTTTTTTAATGCGATCTTGGCTCAGGCAATCCTCCCACCTCAGTCTTCCAAGTAGCTGGGACTATAGGCACATGCCACCACACCTGGCTAATTTTTGTATTTTTTGTAGAGATGGGGTTTTGCCATGTTGCCCAGCCTGTTCTCGAACTCCTGAGCTCAAACAACCCACCCACCTCAGCCTCCTGCCTTGCCCTTTTAAAAAATAACTGTATCATATATGTCTGCATCCCTAAGTAATACATTTTTTAGTTTTGTTTTGGTTTTGAGCCTTACAAAAAATGGTATCTTACTGTATATAGTCCTCTGGTACTTGTTTTTTTTCTCTCACTATTAAGTTTCTAGATCCTCCTATGTTGTTGCATATAGCTATATATTGTTACATATAGCTGTAAATCAGTCATTTTACAGCTATGTAATACTCCATTGTGTGACTGTTCCATAAGTTATGTATTCATCTTCTGTGGATGTTCAAATTTCCAAGTTTTTACTATTAGGATCAATAATTTCTTGAATTACTCTTGTATTATCTCTTCGTGCACATATGCAAAAGTTTCTCTAGGTAGATACCTAGAAGTGAAATTACTTAATCATAGAGAATGAAAATGTTCGACTTTACAACTTAAGGCCAAATTGTTTTTGAAAATGTGTTGTTCCCTTTTGCAGTCTAACCAACAATGTAATCAAAGCTCCTTAATGAAAAGGATCATCTAAATTATGTTTTAAAGTAGTTTTCAATTTGGTCCTTTAGTAAATAGTTATCCATGATCATGTCTATTAAACCATATTAAGTCTTCAATTCTTTTCATAAAACCTTTCTAGATGCAAAATTTAATACTAAATCTTGTTTTAAATGCCTGTCCACATATCAGTAAAAATGTTTTAAAATAACTACATAAAAATAAAAAATGTCAATGACCTTCAAGTGAAAAATGAATGTTTTAGTAGTATAGCTAAGAAAAAAATTCATCACTTTAAGTATAATAGTATATCAATTTAGATTTACATTAATATCTCTGGGGTTCTATCAAACAAAGAACTCACATGACAGACACCAATTATTTTGGGGTGGAATATGATTTTATTTCACTGGACTCCAAAAACACAAGAATGTTTCTAATACCCAAGTTTTTGTATTAATTACAGAGATATATCGAAGATAGTTTTTTTCTGAATAAAACTTTTATATCATTGCATTAACTCTGTATACACAAACCATACATAGCCTAAGAATCCGTCATCTGATTCCCCTAGGCTTTTCTCTGATAATCTTCAAACAAGGTTCCTAAATTTTAATGTTAATCTAAAGCATTTCCTAAATTTTTGTATACCAATTGACACACATCAATATTCTAGCTAATTTATAACATGAAGCATTGTGAATAATTGAACAATTCTTTTGCAGTGGATGTAAGAAATAATACAAGTGGAAAGATAAAATTTTGTTTCTTTCCATAGGAGGTAGGGGCTTTTTTTTTTTTTTTTTTTCTTTAGTGCAATTCAGAAAGAAGAAAAATTGCCTCAGGAACACAACTAACTCTGTTTCATAGCCCAACAGAACAGTGAGAATTGAGCCCTTGAGAATTGTTGGTGTTAATTCAAGCTTGATGTCCATTTGTATTATATCAAGGTAAATTAATGTTAATATCCCATTCTTATACCCAAATTTTTCTGATGGCTTCTCTGAGCACCCTGAGAATAATTTGTATTCCCTCCAGTTTTTCTATGTTCCCCAAATGGTTCCCATTGAAAACATTTGTTTTATGTTGGGTGCACTGTTAGAAACACTAAATTTCGGAAACTGAGTAGTTTTAATATGTAAAAGTATTCACAAAACCTTTCTGTTTTTTACCTCTTAAGATGCTTGCTTGATAGGACTGCAGAAAATCTTTAGTCACACAGGATTTAACTTTAGAGTTGATTTCTATATATGATACTTGAGGTAAATGTTGTTATGCCCCAAAATAAAATTACGTGATCTAAGGTTACAAACAGGTAAAACTAAGACATATGTCCCACTTCCATGGCACTTTCAAAAGAGTTCCTCTTTCCTAGATCTTATGGTGCCTTAGTAACCTCCAACATTCATTCATTGCTACCTGAGCCCAAGTAGCCTATGATGGCTTCTTACATTGTAGCCATAACCCAAATTCACCAGGGCATTGCTTGCAAAGTCGCTGTTCAATCTATTTTCCCCAGCCATACCTGTGCTGATGAGGAACTCCTTAAAAGGCTCCTCGCCTCTCTCCATCTACTCAAAACACACATGGCTCCCTCCCAAACTGTTATACTTCAATAAATAGTTCCCAAATGATATCATAATTGTAAAGGATTTTAATTACCACAAACTCCTCATGCCTATCCTACATATGGAGAAGACTCTTTCAATCATGTAGCCTTGGAGCTGTCAGAGGTTGACCAGATATCTTCAATCCTGCTCCTGAGACTAAATATACTGTAATTGCTAAAGCTTTAAGTGACAGGCATTAGTCAAGGTCAAGTATAACAAACACTTACTGCCCTAAATTCTAATTACCAGTAACTTTCTATTTCCCAGTCTTTTTCTTGATCATGAACTATTATTCCCATTGTGACCCTCCTATTCCTAGCTACCTGAAAACAACTTCTTAATTGCCTTATTTTTCTTCTTCTTATACAACTCCTCTAATACATTTAACCAGTGTTGTGCAAGTAAATGTTTAACCACCTGACCTCTAGGAAGAGGAGGTAAAGACTCAGCTCTGCTGTGTTTGCCAATTTCCATGGTAGAAATCCTCTCACCATGGTTGATTTCAAACTGTACCACTGACCACGAAGCTGGAAATAGTTGCTCAGTAGCCCACTATTATACAATATTGCCATCAAATGGACATGATAGATGTAAATAACATCAAGAACATAAGTAGTATCAAAATGTAAAATAAGAGGTGATTAATATTTATTACCTTTGTCTTTAATATAGTTTACTTAATTACAAATTACATAATTTAATTTTCATAGTGCCTATGTTTAACAACAGACTGGCAACACTCTTCTGCTGGAGGAATATGTGTGTTCTAGATATTGTCTATTGAATCTCAACATCCATTTCTACCTCCATCTAAATTCCCTCCCTTCCAATCATGAAAATTAAAGAACAAAAACTACGTTTTCCAGAATCCCTTCCAGCTGGAATTTTTACTGTAATTTAGGTTTTACTGATGAGATGACCTTGTGTGAGATTTGGAATGCAGAGAAGAGACAGAAACTATTTTTCCTACAGCTCTGCTGGCTGCTGGCCAAGCTCTGGTAAACTGAGTGTTTGAGTGGCCAAATCAGGTTCTCTTTCCTTTTAGTTATGTATTTATTGTTTTTAAAATTTTTTGAAATGGTGTCTCATTCTGTCACCCAGGCTGGAGTGCAGTGACCCGATTACTGCAGCCTCAACCTCCCCAGGCACAGGTGTTACCCAGGCTCATCTCAAACTCTGGGCTCAAGCAATTCACCTGCCTTGGTCTCCCAAAGTGCTGGGATTATAGGCATGAGCCACAGCACCCAGCCAGGTTCCCCTTTCTAGTCTCCAGTTTTGTGGAAATTGAGCCATTGCCTAATGACAGCCCCTGATTTCAACTGCTTAGAGCCTTGCAATGCTATTGTGAGTGCCTAATTCCCTGTATTAAATAACTTTCTTCTTCAAGAACCTAATGTGTTTTTGTTTTTGTTTTCTGCACCAAACCCTCACGTAACATGTGTTCTTGACATCTGCTTGTTTGTTTCTTTCTTGCAACATCCCAAGGAAACATCAGAATCATCACCAGCACAGGTCTAGTTAATCTGTTTGCCTATGTAGTTTCTCATTCTAAATGTTCTCAGATGACTTTCATTTCACTCACATCCTGAGATTATGCTGTGGCATTAATCAATTACTACTTTTTATAATTTTTTTTCAGTAGATCTACTAGAAAGAAAGAAAAGATCTACTAGAAGTCAAGAAAATGAATGCTCAGTTAAGTGAGGGGAGAAGGAAAGTATTTATTGTTATTACTATTTTTTATAACGTCAGAGACCTAATAGTGAAGAATGACTAGTCATTTTTGTTTGATTGGTTTTTTATCTTATACAACCTCCTTGGTCTACTGGAATGCAGCCATATTTCAGGGAAAGACAAACAAAATTGCCTTTTTCTTTTAAGAACAACTAAAGAAAGGAATTGGGGACTTTCCTTTATTAGCCTAATACATACAATGTTTAACACCTTTTTTCTACAAGAAAGTATTTCTTACAACTAATCTACATCTCTCTTTCCACTTTTGTTTTCAGTTTGTCTGGGGGCGGGGGGCAGAGAGAGAGGGAGGGAAGAGATTCTAGGTAACAGAAAAGCATATTTTTCTGAGATAGAATCTAGTTTTCACTTGTTTTCTATCCACATCGCTTTTATCCTTATGGATTTTATCCTTTTATTCAGGTCTCCCTTCCAGTCATCTGTTTTGTTTTGTTTTTCTTGCAAGCTAAGCAAGCTAAGGGCTTGCTGGAAAAACATCTCCTTGCCAATTTTTTTTTTAACCACAGAGCAGTTTTTGCTACTGAAGGAAGTCTTCTGTTTCAAATAAAATAAAATAAATGCAATTATCCTGTAGACAAAAGTCTTTATTTTTTTTCAGCTATTCCTTTGGTCTTCTCATCTCATTTCCTCTGCTCTCTTTGTGCCTGATAATGCATTTGTTCATACCGAGTTCTTATCATCTATGTAGTCTGATGATAGACACTGTGATGGCTCATCCTGATTTAATGTCTCTCACAATGTCTATTTAGAGAAGAACAAAATCTCTGAAGCAATGCAATATGTAAAAAAGCCTATGGATGGGCAATGGAACATTCTTCTTTGCTTACCTTGCAGGTTAATTTACTGATTTGTTTTATTTGAACTGATGGAATCAAACCTAAGCAAATAATTTAGAACCAAAGATAATTTACTGAACTATCTGTAATAACCCAAAAAATGAGTGGCCTAATTTTGAATTAGCTCACCTCAAGGAGAAAAATATTCAGCGGGTGGGGAGAATGTGACATTATAGAAATAAGAGAAAATCAGAAATTTTCTGAAAAAAATTAGCTCAACTATGAGAACAAAAAACAATTTTAATTTTAAAGTAAAAATATTAAAAGGACATACAAAAAGAAGGAAAAAGAAAGCATGCCTTAGTAAATTTTGAATTTTTTCCAAATTTCACTGAAAGCCCTTTTCTCTCACTTTATTATCACCCTAGAACTTCCCATCTGTGCCCAAGAAAAAAATCAGTTACAATCTTAATAAACTCCTAAATACATTTTTGTAGTCAGACCTCTCCTCTTCTGCATCCAAATAATTAACATTTCTGCTAAACTAATTTCAAGGTCAACACATTCGAAATCAAGCTGTTGGCCCCCTCCAGTGTTCTCTCTCTCTCTCTCTCTCTCTCTGAAAATGGCACCACCCATCTCCATTTGCACTAGCCAGAAACCTAAGTTACTCTTCATTTCTCCATCTTCCTCATTCCCCATAAACAAATCATCAAACCCTGTTGATTTTACCACCAATAAAGCCAATATGTGAGCACTAATATGTGCACTGCTTTCTACCTTTGTTATGATAGCTCTCATCCAATTGACCATCACTTCCCACCTAGGACACTGCTATAGCCTTCCCATTTATTTCTCTGTAGTCAGTTTTCCCTTCTTACAATCCACAGTACCTATAGCAGCCAGAGAAGATATCTGGTGGAGGTGGGGGATGGATATGAGATTATAAAAATAAGAAAAAATAAAAAAACTGTGACTCTTTTTAAAGTCACAAATCTAATCCTGCAACAATCTTACTTAAAAACTTTAGAAGACTTGTCATTGCTCTTAGAATAAAGACAAAAATCTTTACTGTGAACTTCTCCTCAGCCTTTTCCATGCCACTTCCTACCTCAGTCCATCCTCTTCAGCCACATTTGCTTTTTTACAGTTCCTATAAAGCACCAAACTTTCTCCTGACTCAGGGCCTTTATTCATGCAGTTCCATATAGCTGGAATACTGACCTTCCCAAGCCTGCTCTCCCACTCACACTCTTCCTAGTTAACTATTATCCCTCAGATCTTAGCTTGTAAAACACTCTCAAGAGCCTTCCTGACTCTTCAATCACAGTGAAGTCCTTCTCACCCCCTCTCATGGCAACCTGTACTTCAGAGTGCTCACCAGAATTATAAATATATATTTGTTAGGATTTTTAAAATTAATGTCTTTTTTCCCATTCTCACTAGTTTATATGCTCCATGAGAGCAGGAACTGCATCTGTTTTACTCTCCATTGTAATCCAAGCACCAATACAATCCCTGGAATATAGTAGACATACTATAAATATATGTTCATAAATGAATGAAGATAGTTATTCTGAAATCATTATTTCAGCTCCACTCAAAGTCTCTCCAACATTGCTAGTAAATAGCAAAACTAATTAGTGTGATTTTGAATCATGAATAGCAACAAAAAGAAAGTCAAAGACTAAGTCACCCAGGAATAGTTGAAGATTAATTTTACTAGCAGACAGAAAACATTAAAGGCCATATAGATTTTTTTCATTTGTAAATTTTTTTTTTACATTTACATTCTTGCTCACTTTATCTTAAGACTAAGCTTACATTACAGACAGAGGGAAATTCTTTGCAAAAACAAACATCTTTACAAAATAGATGTCTTTGTCCATTTTTCTACTAGGGTGTTTGTCTTTTTTTTTCCTGAAATGTTAAAACTGTTGATGTACTAAAACTATCATTCAGGTAGTATATATTTTCCCCATCTTGTCATTTACCTTTCCATTGTTTATGATGTTTGAAATATAAGGAGATTTATTTGATTTCTTGTTATTGTTTATATTTATTTTTACAAAGTCAATTTTACTCTTTCATAATTTGTGCCTTTTTCATCATGCTTAGAACAGGGAAGTAGGCTTTTCATGCCTCTGTGTGCATGAGAGTCTGCTGTGCTCAAGGGTACAGTCCTCCAGCTATTTTTCTCACCACTGCAGGATACAATTCATTCATTTGCTAATTCATCTATTTGTAAATTTATCACTTACTTAGCAACATATGTCAGGACTGTACTAGGAACCAGGCAAAATAGACACCGACCCTTTCTTCACAGAGCTTGCAATAAGAAAGACCTTTAACATATAATCATTCACAAATATGCAGTTGCACACTGACCAATGTTGTTAACAAAAATGTAAGCATGCAGAGTATAATTCCTGTGGTGACTTTCAACTTGCCAATTCTAAAGTCAGGTAGAAGGTGTTGGGAGCCCTCCTGTAATGGAAGAAATTGCCATTCTTGGGTTAGTGCTCCCTGTACAAGAGTTCACTGCCTCCACTCTATTGCTCTCTTATATTTCCACCCTAGAATAATGAATATGCACCCATCTTCACCACTCAAAACACACCACACACCTATTGGAATGGCCAAAATCCAAACAAAGCAACACCAAATGCTGGAGACGATGTGAAGCAACAGGAGTTGTCATTCATTGCTGGTGGGAAGGCGAAACAGAATAGCCATGTTGGAAAACGGTTAGGCAGTTTCTTACAAAACGAAACATACCACGTAATCCAGCAAGTGCACTCCTTGGTATTTACCAAAATTAGTTGAAAACTTATGTGAACATAAAAACCTGCACACAAGTGTTTGTAGCAGTTTTAGTCTTAATTGCCAAAACATGGAAGCAACCAAGATGTCCTTCAGTAGGTGAATAGATAAACTGGTACATCTAGAGAATGGAATATTACTCAGCATTAAAAACAAGCTATCAAATATTACATGGAAAGATGTGGAGGAAATGTAAATGCATATTACTAAGTGAAAGAAGTCAATCTGGACAGACTATATACCCTGTGATTCCAACTATATGACATTCTGGAAAAACTACAGAATCAGTAAAACGATCAGTGCTCACTAGGGGTCAGTGAGGAGGGAAGAATGAATAAGTGGAACACTGACGATTTTTAGAGCAGTAAAACTATTCTGTATGATACATGTCATTATACAAAGAATGTCTAATACCAAAAGTAAACCCTAATGTAAGCTATGGACTTTAGATGATAACAATGTCTCAATGTAGGTTCATTGATTGTAACAAATGTACCACTCTGGCGTGGATTTTGATAGTAGGGGGAGGCTGTATATATACAGAGGCAGGGAATAAATGGGAAATCTCTGTGCCTTCTGCTCAATTATGCTATGAACCTAAAACTATTCTTTAAAAAGTTTATTTGCATACATACACACAATGTGTGTGACTGGGCAAGTTATCTAACTTCTCTCTGTGTACTTCAATTTTCTCATCTGTAAAATGGATATTATTGTACCTATTCCATAGGCTATTGTAAGAATTATGGAGTTAATATACACGAAGTACTTAGAACAATGCCTAGCACATAGTAAGCAACTAATAGAAGTAAACTATTATCAGTTGGAAGAGGTAAATAGATACAACAAGTTTATAGGCAACTCATACATACAGGGCAGAGTATGTTAGGACCCTATGTATGGCCCAAGATATGATGGGAATTTTTCAGAAAAAGAAATCATATTGGGTTAGAGAGAGCAGGAAGGCTTCATGAAGAAGGGGATGGGAGGATTTGGGGATGGGAAGATTTTGACATCAGAAAAAGAGGTTTGGGGTAGAAGGGATGGACTTCCAGAAAGAAGAAATGACACATATTCTGTTTGCTTTGAGTGCTTCAAAAAGAGGAAATCTTAGAGGACTAGCAGGAGATAGAGCAGGGCTGATTAGTTGGCATTGTTCTATTTTGTTTTGTTTTTGAGACACAGCCTTGCTCTGTTATCCAGGCTGGAGTGCAGTGACGTGATCTTGGCTCACTGAAACCTCCACCTCCCAAGTTCAAATGATTCTCCTCCCTCACTCAGCCTCCTGATTATCTGGGATTACAGGCGCTCGCCACCACACCAGGCTAATTTTTGTATTTTTAGTAGAGACGGGGTTTCACTATGTTGACCAGGCTGGTTTCAAACACCAGACCTCAAGTGATCCACCTGCCGCGGCCTCCCAAAGTGCCGAGATTGCAGGCATGAGCCACCATGACCAGCCTGATCATTTGACCTGTATCTTGAAGATCTTTGGATAATATGTTTATATTATTTCATTGGCTATATAGGAAGACTGGCAGTTTTTAAAAGAGGAACAACGCAATGAGTTTTGCTGAGAGAATATGATTAAATAAACTCAAATCCACAACATCATAGGAAAAGATGCCTCAAAATGTATACCTTCTATTTGTAAGCCCATGTTTACAGCAGTACTATTCACAATGACCGAGATGTGGAAGCAATCCAAATGCCCATCGATGGATGAATGGATAAGCAAAATATGGTATACATGTAAAAAGGATGCATGTATTTCTCAGCCTTACAAAGGAAGGAAATCCTGTCATATGATACAACATGGATGAACCTTGAGAACATTATGCTAAGTGAAATAAGCTGTCACACAAACAAGAAAAGCAAATACTGCATGATTCTGCTTATATGAGGTATCTAAAGTAACAAAATTCATAGAAACAGAAAGTAGAATGATGGTTACCACAGACTAGAAAGAGGAGAAAATGAGAAGTTGTTGTTTAATGGGTATGGCATTTTGGTTCTCCAAGATGAAAAAGTTCTGGAGATCTGTTTCACAACAATGTGAATATAGGCAACATTACTAAACTGTACACAAAACTGGTTAAGATAATCATATGTGTTTCTTACTACAATTTCAAAAAAACTTATATATTGGTGTTGGTAACTTATTTCCCACCAATAAACTAATTTGGGGTCCTTTTTGAAAGAAGGATCAGCCTTGTCAACATTCATTCATGTTCTAATAGTGTGAGATCCATCTTCTATACAGTCTTCCTTTGAAACCAGCTGATCACATCTGGATTCAGTGCCTCCACAGTTACAATTATAAGGAAATCAAGATAAAACCAATGCTAATCTGGTATCCATAAAGACATTAAGAAACAGTAGGTCTCAAAGGTTATGGCATACAAACATGATGAGACTGTATTTAGGACAGATGTTAGTAAGTATAAAATATCGCTCCATTGTTATTGTAAACTCTACTCAGTGAAAATGTCTTTGGATAAGAATCTATGCTTGCTGCATAGGACCCAGTCAGAAGTTGAAGAGAAGACCTGATTGCTGTGATTATATGTCAGAATTTAATTTTAAAATATCTGTAACCTTACAACAGAATTATATCCTGTGGTTTGGGAGTTTAAAAGAGGAGTACATTCTCATTTGGAATTCATCCCAAGGATTAGCAATTACTGAACAATAAAACAGATGATTCTCACAGAAGTAAAGGGAAAGGGGGAAAGAAAAGCATGTATAAGAGAATTGGATGGAAGGAGGGAGATATTTTTAGCCTTTGTATTTCTCGAAATACAAATGTAACACATTGAGTTAAAAAGAAATCAATCCATTTGGTTCTTTTTTAATGTATTTTTTTTTTAACGTTTGCTTTGGTAGCCTTGGCAGCAAACAAACCAAAATGGAAAAATAATTCTCTTCTTCTTCTTCCTTTTTAGGAAAAACCTCCATACCTTGGATTCTAGATCCCTGGGTCCCCTTACCCCAGGAGGGCACTAATAGCTTACTCAGTGGTATTGAGGCTGTCCAGCAGACCATCCCACTTTGATTTGGAAGATCAGTGCCTATGCAAGAGGAAAAGCATGCAATTGGGAATAGGACAGAGGGTTTCCAGAGAGGAGGAACACCCAGGACAAAGGAGGGGTAACACGAATTCCTGAGAACTGACCACCAAGTTCATGACTTTTGGAGCCCAGACCAAAAGTCTTCTAGGGCCCAAGCTTGGGACAGAAGGAGTGGATGCCACCATCAGAGGATGCCTGTTACCTCAAGGTATGTCCAAGTATGAGTAGGCCTGGGCACAAAGCCAGGTAAGCAGGACCTGCTTCAGGTGGGCAAGGTTACTGGATCGCCTCAAGGAGAGGATTCCCCAAGGCCCTGGTCAACAGGGCTGCTTTAAAATTGTTGTAATACCCAAGGACTTACTTTAGGATACCCTACCCCACATCATATAAAACGTATTGAAATGTACCATGTCCCAGCTTAAATAAAATTTCTTTAGCTAAAAAAGTTGTTTTTGAGTTTTTATAATTTTGCTTTTATTTTTCTTTGTTTAATTCATTTAATTTATGTTTGGCTCTAATTTCTGAGGAAAATATTATGCATGTTACAAAATTATTTTTGAACTTCCAGTTGTTTTTCAACGTGATGGAGTTTTTTAATACAAAGTTTAGTGACTGCCGTATAGGACATGCAAACTGCACATTATTGCATACAAAGCAATAGTTAATAATTGTATTCATCTTTCTGGTGATCAGAAGGTGATAATTTGAGAAACTTATATCCTAACATGTCCATTTTTAAAATTATAGAATTTTCTACTGTGTTACATTGCGTTTTAGGAATTGCTAAGTATTGACCAACAGCCAACACAGTTTTTTCCATTTAAAACAATGGCAAATAGAAACCCACAAGTGTTTGTTGCATGTGACATCTGATTTTTGGGACTGAAGTACTCATGTTTCCAGGGTGATGCCTGTATATAATCAAGTGCTATCCTCTAGGTCAGATCCCACAGTAGAAAAAGAGACATCCCTGTGCACTGCAGCAGGCAGGAAGTGCTTTATTGAAACAGCCAGAGAGGAGAATGTTGCAGTGAGAAGGAAGAGCAGAAAGCCAATGAGAGGAACACAGGGAGGCATGAGTGAGGTACAGCGGGGATATATTCTGAAATATCCTGTGTTTTAGCCACAAAGTAATTTTTATTGAGCTATCTTTCACCAGCGAGCATTTAAACTTGTCCTTTGCTGAAGTGTTCTCAGGACTCTGGAGACTGGGCTCTGTCCATATACCAGGGGAGCTCTTTAATGAATAATTTTATTCCTCTAAATTTTTAGAAAAAAATAAAGATACAGACATAGCAATTTATCAGCTACTGAGTAACTTTTTGGCAAATCCTTAGTAAGACGTTTACAAAACACCTTTCCTAACAATGCATTTATAAAATAAACATTAAAACAGAAGATATTTTTCTATTTCCCATGGTCTCAACCCCTTTTGCCATCTCAGCACACGTGAGGGACATCACACATACACACTCTTACACATACACACACACAGTTTCTGGCTGCCTGGACAGTGCTTTTCATGTAGGCAGCAGGCCTCCATGGGGTTGAGTTGAGGTAGAAGGGCTAGAGTTGTGGAAGATGCATAGACACAGCTCCCTAAGTGATTCCCATACCCACTCTGTGGCCATGAGACTGCACCTCTCCAATTTCAACTACAGCATAATTGGCTAAGGGCCCCACACTGCAATCCATCTCTGAGTTCATGCCAAGGCCAGGATTCTCACGGGCTGCTCCCAGCCAATGACTGAATGCTGCAGGGACACTCAGTACCAAAACAAGCCCAGTCCCAGGAGACATGGCACTTCTCTGATTCATGACTTTGGCTTGAGGACTCCCTGAGAACCTTGCTGAACCTTCCTTAGGCTGCTCAATGATCTAGGATATTCCCACCTAACCTTCCTTCTGGGTCTCCTTTCAGAGTCACACTTACATCACAGTTTGGTGGTTCTCCCAGCCTGTCTACCTTTCTCCCCATTCTGTCTTGCAGAGGTATTTCCCCTAATAAAATCCTTTCACATTGAATCCCATTTTGGTGGCTGATTCTCAGAGGACCCAGAATAACACACTTTCTAAGTTGAGAACCACTGATTTAGATTCTCTTTCCTCAGAATTTCTAGCACTGCCTCAAAAATAGAAAGCTTATAATACTCAGTTGTGCATGTTCTTCAGTATATTCCTCTAGCCAGGTGGCTGCTTTTCTACGAAGTTATCTGCTACTCTTTACAATTTGCCCTCAAAATATGCTCTTCCCGACTAAGCTCCTCTGCTTTAATTCAGCTAACCAGCAATTATTCTCTAAGTGGTGCCATACCTACAAACCTTTAAAAAAAAAAAAAAAACAAGTGGTTTCCTCTATATTTCCCTTTTTGAATTAAGACAATGAAAACCATGTTTATTTTTCTGCTACATTTTTGCCTGTTTGAGATTTTTTTAAACAAGGCCAAAAATATTTATCTGTTTTAAAACACTATTACCTGACATGGTGACTCTTAACCTTTAGTGGGATCAGAGATTCTTCAGGCAAGGACCCAGCACTCACCTCAGAAGAAGGCATAGGCATGCAAAATTTTACATACAATTTTACACAAACCTCTAGGCTAAGGATCTTTCTAGTCTGTTTGGGAATGTTCTAGTTGCTGTTCTTAATTTAATATATTTTGCTTCCTAGTCTGAGCTGCTATTGAAAAGGGGAAGTCAAATTTGTTGTCCGTGCTGATTCTTTGGAATTCATATGTAAGTGAGCATAACACACAGATGTAAGATGGTGTATCACTGTGATGGTCATTGTTTCGTACAGTCTGCTTGTCTGAAGCAGAGAGTTTATGGAGGAGAGTGCAGAAGATAATGTGGTAATATGGAATGCAAGCTTTGGAATCAGATTTCCTAGGTTTAAACTCCACACTGCCATTTCTTCCTTCCTTCCTTCCTTCCTTTCTTTCTTTTTCTTTTTTTTTTTTTTTTTTTTTTTTGAGATGGAGTCTTTCTCTGTCACCCAGGCTAGAGTGCAGTGACGTGATCTCGGCTCACTGCTGCCTCTGCCTCCCCAGTTCCAACGATTCTCCTGCCTCAGCTTCGGCTCTATATTTCTTAATAGAATTTATTACCGTCTGATACATTGCTTGTTTGTTTATTTACTATATGTGTCTTCCTGGAAGGATGTAAGCTCCATGTAAGCAAAGATTTTGCGCGCACACACACACGGACCATCAACCCCATGCTAGAACATTGCCTTACACATGGTAGGTGCTCAATAAATATTTGTTAAATAGATTGTAGAAGCTTCAAATCATATATGTTTTGCAATATTTTTACAGACTGAAGACTAATATTATATGCCAAGTAGCTTTTAACTAATAGTATTCTATTCATATTTTAATAAGGTAATTGAATGACTTTTCAAAGCAGATACTTTTCTCTTCAAACATACAATTTGGAAGTACATATTGATTTAGTTGTCTTGGGATTCCAATAAAACTTCCTTCAGTACATGTATCTGAAACTTCATAAATATTTACAGCTAATGCTTAAATTGTGCTTGCTGCTCTCAATGCTCTACATATGTTAATTTACGTAATCCTCTTATAACCCTATGACTCTAATACCCCAGGCACTGCTCTTATCCCCATTTTACAGATAAAGAAGCCAAGGTTTCTAAACAAGGAAAGTTTGTAACTTACTCAAGATCATCCAGTTAACAAATGGCAGAGGCAGGATTCAGCCCAGAATCCAGGCAGTCTGGCCTAGATTCAAGCTCTTAACAACTGCCCAATACAGCCTTTTTAGTACATGAAAGTGGAAAGCTGGAGTTTATGGTCAGAGAAATTTCACTGTCTTCCATTACTTACACTTTCTACTTATAGCACGAACATAGCACCATTGTGGTTATTTAAAGTGCCCAAATTGTCATTTTTTTTTAATTCAAGAAAAAATAAAAGGTTAATTGCTTAAACCATAGACAATCTCAAAGCACTAGTAAGGAATTATCACTGGCTGCCTCCTTTCTCCTCTCTTAAGCAGCTTATTTATATACACATTGCACCATACTGAATTTTCAAAATCACCCTTGCAGTTCAATTCGGGAATACATTTCCATAACAAAAGCAATTAGCTTGTAGAATGGTTTTCTGAGAGAAGGTAGCAAAATCTTTATAGCTTTAGGCATGGCTAGTCTCACCTGACTAGCAATATTTCTGAGGGAAGAACCCAGGACAAGCAGATGCTGGGACCACAGCTTTTCCCATTCCCAGTTTGTGTCGCTCTGGTCAAAGTGATAAAGGGCATCAGCTTCCTTTCTGAAGTAGACATCACTTTTTTATTTTATTTTTATCTTATTTATTTATTTTGAGACAGAGTCTTGTCTCAAAATCTCTGGTCAAAGTCAAAGGGCATCAGCTTCCTTTCTGAAGTAGACATCACTTTTTAATTTTATTTTTATCTTATTTATTTATTTTGAGACAGAGTCTTGTTCTGTTGTCCAGGCTGGAGTGCAATGGCGTGATCTCGGCTCACTGCAACCTCCACCTCCTGGGTTCAAGCGATTCTCCTGCCTCAGCCTCCTAAGTAGCTGGGATTACAGGCACCCCCCACCACACCCAGCTAATTTTTGTATCTTTAGTAGAAATGGGGTTTCACCACGTTAGTCAGGCTGGTCTCGAACTCCTGACCTCAGGTGATCCCACCCACCTTGGCCTCCCAAAGTGCTGGGATTACAGGCATGAGCCACCACACCCGCCCACAAAAAAAAAAAAAAAACAGATTCCAGATGGCCAATAAATTTAGGAAGTGAATTTACTCGGTTTCTAATGTACAATGCATTGGAATTTTTGCCAAATCCATCTGGAAAAACAACTTGGCATTATTTCCAGGTTTCAAAAGCAGGTGTGAAATAAATTTAAGGTTTATAGGGTGATGAGTACCTAAGCCAGGTTCTCAGATGACCATGGTTTGCCACTGAGCACCATGTGCCAGGAATCTGTACAAACATAGGCTGTGGATTTCAAGTGCCTCTGCAAATAGCTAGTTGTGTATCCTGCCAATTTTGCTTCATTTTCTGGTGCAAATGGCAGCTGTGCCAGGAAGTGTCTGTGGATTTGACTAAATTGCATTGCATTTTTTTATACTAGTAATTTTGGATTTCATAAAAGTAGAGGTGTTGAAAAGAGTTCACAGATTTTAAAATTTCCCATTAACATTTTTAAAGAGTAAAGAGTTTGACATTTCTCCTGAAGCAGCTGCTTTCAATCACTATTGATTGCCTTGATGTCTAGTTCTAGAAATAAACAGAAGTCCTATCTTACAAATATTCAAACCACAACTTAGCAGAGGCTTTCAGATAGCTAGGTCTACCCTTAGTTCCCAAATAGCGAAACAGATCTTGTGCTTTATTGGTAATTCATGGGCCTAGCACCATTGGTTACTTCCATCTCACGTTCTCTAGAGAGTGAGTAGAGTACAAACACATTCCAAACACATTTTTAAAAGTCTATTTCCATTATAATTCTCAGGCCATGGAGTAGACAGTTTATGATTGGGTCCCAGCACTTCATTTCTCCTTTCTGTTTAAGGATCCATGAGCTTCTAGGAAATCTGATTCTATCCCTTGCTCCTGGGATGGTGCAGGTGACTTAGGCTAAGCCAATCAGAGCACTTCGACTCCCTGGCTAGCCAGATGGCACAATCAGAGTTTGAGGGCTTGGATATGGAAATGTGATGTCTGAAACTACTGCAAATGTTTTTCCATCATGAAGAAAACCAACCTGAAGAAGAAGCCAACACATGGGGAAGACAGAGTTGAGAAAATCACAGAAGAAAAAAGCCAAATTACTGATGATGTCAAAACCTTCTAGATCAAACCACCTGGAGCCTGCCCTGCCTCTGGACTTCTCATTTACATAAGCAAATAAATTCCTTTTATATTAGGTCTGAGTTGTACCTCTGTTACTTGTAATTTAAAACTTTCTAATGGTAGTCTTTTGCAAGGTATAAATTGGTACACAGAGGCAATCTTAATATTTGAACCCTATTTGCCCTATTTTATGAGGTTAGATGCTTTTGGCTGCAAACAACAGAGTATCTGGCTAAAATGGCTTAAACAGTGGCTTTGCTAAGACTATAAAATCATGTAACAAGAAGTTCAGAGGTAGGCCTGACGCAGGGTTGGTTAATTTAGCAGTTCAACAAGATCATTAAAGAGCTATATTCCTTCTTCTTTCCACTCTGCATCCTCAATAAGTTGGGGTTGGTCTCTTATAGTCCCAAGACGGCTGACAAGGAGGAAAATTTTTCCCAGAAGTGCCTTGCAGACTTTGCCTCACACCTCATTGACCAGAACTGGGTCACCTGCCTAAACAAAGGAAAAAATTAATGGGATTTGGCAAATTATAATTTATCTTTTGGGACTCAGGAGAGGTCCCACCTTCACTGTGTACATTGCCACCTAATAATCTAAACAAAATTGGGGTCCTTAACAAGGCTGTATTGGCAACTAACAGTGTTTGTCATGTCCACCAGGGTTATCATCAAATGTCTATTACAAACCTGTTTATATTCTACCTTGAGAGACATTTTTCAATGAAAAAGTTCAAAGTGCAATCACATAGTGAAAAGAAGAAAATGACATTAAAATTCAGATTTTTATGCTCAGGTTACAGTATGTCAAACATACCTTAATAGAACTATTAAAATAATCAAGTAATTATGTATAGTGGTATCATAACCACCAAGTCCTGATCAATGTTTTCATAATAAAACACAAAGTCCTCTACCCTGGTGATTTCAACATCAAAAATGTTGAACAAAAGAGACTGCTCAATTAACCTGTTGTCCAGGCAAGGTGTACCAGTGTAGAATTTAATAGCATCTCAATACCTTCTCTAGAGGAAAAAAATTTGAGGGCCAGAGAGTAACTAAAATATTTGTTTCATATATCTGTGATTCAAGATATATTAATGTGAAATCTGGAATACTTTTAAGACCAGAAGAAAAGTTTAACCAACAATAACTTGAGAAATGACAAATAGAAGAAATAGCCAAAGTTAGACAGGGAAGAAAAAGAAATTAAACTAAAGAAAAATGGAACTGGAGAAAGAAGAGCAATAAAAATAATTATTTTTCAAAAGTTGTATATGCCTAGACACCATAAAAATCACCCACATATAAGTGATATCTATGCTTTCAGAGATATTGCTGTTTATATAATACTTATTTCTTTTGAGTTTTTTAGTATCATGAGTTTGTCTCTATAGAAATTACATTTGCCACACCTTATTATTTATTCTGCATTACATCACTCTATCAGTAATCAAAGACATACTTTGGGTTTCTGTGAATGTTCTGATGTATGATTTTTCTTCAGATTTATTATTTTGGTTACTATGGTAGTTTTCCTGCTATCCCAGAATGGATTCTAGTAATGGAGAATTTGGCTTTGGCTTAATATTTAATACTTACACTTTTCTAATAACATGCACTTAGGTTTTACTTCGTTCAGCACACATCTCCTGCCTTTCCATTGTTTTGCTGTTTATAATGTCAGCTACAAACTCTGTAGGGGAACGAACAAGTCTAGCATAGAGAAATTATTGTGGTAGATAATAATAACAATTGTATTTTGGCTTCTCTTTGCTTGATGTAACTCCGCTTATATTTGTTAATCAAAATTTTAATAACAATATATTGCAACTTGTTGCTCCTTGGGTGCATTGTTTTCTAGTGTCACATCCGCTGCATTTATCTCTCTTGAAAGTGGTTAAATTGACACATATTTCTTTGTGTCCACATGTGCTGGATGGATTCCAAAATGGCTATAGTAAACTCAGGTGAATTTTTTCAAAGGCATTTATTTACTTACTTTTTATAATTTCAACTTTTATTTTAGATTCAGAGGGTACATGTACAGATTTGTTACATGAGTAAATTGCACAATACTGAGGTTTAGGGTATGAATGGGCCCATCACCCAGGTAGTGAGCATAGTATCCTAGCACCCAGTAGGTGGTTTTCCAGCCCGCCCCCCAACCCAGTAGTCCCCAGTTGCCATCTTTATGTCCATGAATACCCAGTGTTTAGCTTCCACTTATAAGTGAGAACATAGGGTATTTGGTGTTTGGTTCTTGCATTAATTCGCTTAGGATAAGGGCCTCCAGCTGCATCCATGTTGCTGCAAAGGACATGATTTTGTTCTTTTTTATGGCTGGAAAATACTTCATGGTGTATGTGTACCACATTTCCTTTATCCAATCCACCATGAATGGGCATCTAGGTTGATTCTATGTGTTTGGTATTGTGAATAATGCTAGGATGAATACGAGAGTGTATATGTCTTTTTGGTAGAGAGGTTTATTTTCTTTTGAATACATGCTGCATTAGTCTGTTCTTGAATTGCTATAAAGAAATACCTGATACTGGATAATTTAAAAAGAAAAGAGAAGAAAAGAAGTTGAATTGGCTCACAGTTCCACTGGCTGTACAGGAAGCATGATGCTAGCATCTGCTTGGCTTCTGGGGAGGCCTCAGGAGACCTTCAATCATGGTGGAAGGGGAAGGGGAAGCAGGTGCATCTTACATGACCAAAGCAGGAGGAAGGGGCCTGGTGCCACACACTTTTAAACAACCAGATCTCACGAGAATTTACTCACTATGCAGTACCAAGGGGGGGTGGTGCTAAACCATTCATGAGAACTCCGCCCCCAAGATCCAATCACCTCCTACCCAGCCCCTCCTCCAACATTGGAGATTATTATTTGACATGAGATTTGGGCAGGGACACAGATCCAAACCATATCACATATGTAGGACTGCTGAGTTGAATGGTAGTTCTTTTTTAAGTTCTCAAAGGCATTTTAAATGGACACTTTAGAAAATTTCTCAGATAGCACTTGTAATAGGTAGCATCTAAAATAGATCTCAGTAATCCTCTGCTCCTGGTACTCATGCCCATATGAAGTCTTTTCTCTTGGAGTGTGGGCTGGACCCAGTGACTCACTTCTAATCAATAGAATATGCCATGACTCCAACACTCCAGACACCAACTAGATGTCCTACAACTCAATTCAATTCTGACACTACCCAGAGTTAGTGCTGGATCCCTCAAGTTAAAGGCTCAGTCCCACAAGACTTCCCTCACTTCATAGGCCAATTGCTGGTCCTGGGTCACCCATACTTTTGACAGACAGACTGTAAATCAAGAGTTCCCACAACCCACTCCTCAGGTTCCATAATTTGCTAAAATAAGCCCACAGAACTCAGGAAGGTGCTTATCAGTACTTATCATCAGTTTATTATAAAGAATACAACTCAAGAACAGCCAAACATAAGAAAGGTATAAGGCAAGGTTTGTGAGGGAGATGACATCCCTCTCAGGGCATGCTTCTCTCCCAGCATATCAAAGTGTTTACCAACCTGAGAGCTCTGGAACCCTGTTGTTTAGGGGTTTTTATGGAGGTTTCACTACAAAGTCATGATTCATTAAATCATTGGCTATTGGTGATCGACTCAATCTTCAGCCCCTCTCTTGCCCTGGAGGGTGGAGGTGAGACTAGGAGTTTCAATCTTCTAATTCTGGATTAGTCTTTCTGGTGGCCAGCCTCACATCTGGAAGCTATTTAGGAGTCTCTCAGCGAAGAGCTGCCAGCATAGCAAAGATACTCTTACCATCCAGGAGGGTCTAAGGATTTTGGAAGCTTTTGCCAGGAACCAGGGAAAAAGACCAATATCTCCAGAGGTTCATTTTTCACTGCCTCTTTTTCAAAATAGGTTTGAAGCAGCTTATACTAAAGAACATAAATACAATGAAGTAACATAGAAATAGAAAATAAAGGCCATAAGAAGGAGACCACATTTTTGGAGTGTGATGGCAGTGGGCAGAATAATGATTCCCCAAAGATGTCCACATCCTAATTCCTAGGACCTGTGAATGTGTTATTTTACATGGCAGCAGGGAATTAAGGATGCAAATGGAATTAGATTTACTAATCAGCGGACCTTAAAATAAGGAGATTATCCTGGATTATGGGGGTAGGCCCAATATAATCACAAGCCCTTAAATGGGGAATGGGAAGACAGAACAGCTGGAGCCAGAAAGATGGCCTGGTGTAAGGATTGACCAGCCACTGCTGGCTTTGAAGAGGGAAGGGCACCTGAGCCAAGGAATTCCTGTTTTCTAAGTTTTCATACCCTTCTCATTTTATCTGGTCCTCAGACAAAACAATTTTAGGAGCAGTGGGCACGTGGGCAGGCTGATAATTTCAAACTACAGTATACATGGTTGGCCCTCAGTGTAAGTGGGTTTTGCATCCTGCAAATACTGCATTTTCCATCCACATTGATTGAAAACAGCCACGTTATGTGTGAACCCATGCAGTACAAAGGTCAACTGTACTTCAATTCTCTGTTCTTTTGGTATTCACTCACCATTTATCAGAGAGGGTGAGAGTTATGTACAGAGAAGATCCAGAAGTATAGCACCAGATGACAGGGCTCAACATGGCGTCCCTTCCCTGAGAGGCTCAGCTCAGGCCCCAAAGGTGCGTGCCCCAGCACTGCAGTGCAGGCCACTCAGAGAAAGAAAAGCCCCACTCAGAAAACAAATCACACAGACCTAGACATCTCAGAACAAATTTTAGCAATGGTTTGCTGCTCCTTGAGCAAGGCTTCCTGGAGGTCTCATATCCTATACACACCACCTTATAAAAGTATTCTGAGCTCACCTCCTTCCCCTATCTTCCTCCACCCCAGCCACCCCGGCCTCTTTACTTTCTTCAAACTCCCCTGAAAGCTCCTCACTGCTTGTGCTTCTGTTTCCTCTTTCTGGTATATTTTCCCCCATTACCCCTCACTCATTTAGGTCTCACCTTAACAGAAAAGTCACCTTAATAGAAAGTCTTCCTCTCCACAGTATAAAATGCTCCTCTCCCATTACTCTGTCCCCTTAATCTGCTACACTGTTCTTCATAGCCCTTGTCACTACCTGAATTTTTACATGTTTATTCCTTATTGCCTATATTCTCCACTAGAATATACTCTCTATGAGAGTAGAAGCTCTGACTTTTTGTTCTCTGCTTATCCCAGTGTCCAGAACAATGCTAGGCATACAGAAACCTCTTGGTAAATATTTAATGAATAAGGGAATGAATGCTTTCCAACCACTCAGAGTCATCTTCCCCAGGGAAGTTTCGGTAATAGGCTTTTCTCCATCCTATTGCATTTTCAGTGATGTATATATAATCAAGTGCTGTGTGAGAGTTCTCTGACTCCCAGGAAACTCATCGCTGGTCCTCTGCTTGATCAGACTTTTGAGTAGCCACAATGTGACATAGGTACACTTCTCAGAGTCAGTAACATCTGTTCCATGCACCTAGCACTTATTTCTCCCAATTCTAAACTGGTTCTCTCATAGGTTTCAGTGCTGTTGTTTTCAAATTTATTTTAGCCCCAATCCCTTTGTTCAGAAGATGAGCAGAAGTTCAACATGTAAAACTATATAAAGCAGCTATGCTCCATTTCTGCTCCAAACCCCTCCACTGCCTAAAATTCCCAAGGGAGATCCATAAGCTCCCAACTCTTCTGAGCTTGCACAGCTTGAAGGTATCTGTCTCCAGGCATATATTATTCCGTTGATCCCTCGATTCAGAAGTCAATAATAATAAAGTCTCCTGAGCGCAATATACTCTGAGCATTTATTACCAATTTATTATTATTGGAGTCACGGGAATATCTCCAAAGGGTAAGAAGTTATGAGCTTCCACTGTCCCTTTCTTTTGACACAGATGTCCACTAGGTCTAGGTAACCCTGGGCCAATCCTTTCTCAGATTCCACAACATCTGCCAAAAGGCCTGAGATGTTTAAATCCAGGAGACATTAATAAGACATTAATGAAATGAAAGGAAAATCCTGTACACTCTTTTTTCTATCCCAAAAGCTATACATGGTCATTGTGAAAATTTTCTAAAAGTCAAACAATTAGAAATGAATGCAATAGATAAGACCCACATCACCTGGTAGAGGTAAAATTACAGTCACATCTCTGTCCTTTTCCCTTTAATCACTGGGTCCCCATATGCCCCTGCTAACAGGAAGTCCCATATCTACCTCCTGATGCTTCCTCTCCTTCCTCCCCTCATTTGGTCAAGCAACCTTGGGCTTACTCAGGCCTGCTGTTTCCACATGCTAGGACAGTGTCACCAATGAATAGCTGACCTCTTTTTGGGTAGATTTCCTGCTGTTGCTGCCACCCAGGATTGCTGTGAAGGTGGTGGTCTACTGTCCTTGCATTCTTATGCTTTTAACAAAGTTACTCAGCAATGGGCACATTCATCTTGCACACATGGGCCAAATGGACCTATTCAGGCAAGGAGGAAAGACTCAAAGAAGAGCTACTCCATAGAGGAATTCCTAATCTGGATCCAGAGACTGGCAGTATTTCTGTATAACTAATTTTCTTTTAAACTACATGCACAAGTTGTCCCCGGTATATACAGGGGATTGGTTCCAGGACCGCCAGCATGTAACAAAATTCATGCGTAATCAGTCCTGCAGAACCTGAGTAAATGAAAAGTCAGCTCTCCTTATGCGTGGGTTTCACATCCCTTGAACACCACATTTTGGTCCGTGTTTGGTTGAAGAAAAGCCATGTATAAATGGACCTATGCAGTTCAAACCCACGTCATTCACGAGTCAATTTTACTTAATTATATGCTCTTATTGTGGGGCCAGGCATGGTGGCTCATGCCTGTAATCCTATCACTTTGGGAGGCTGAGGCAGGTGGATCACCTAAGGTCAGGAGTTCAAGACATGCCTGGCCCCACAATAACTTTTTTTATTTTTATTTTTATTTTATTTTATTTTTGTTTGAGACAGAGTCTGGCTTTGTCATCCAGGCTGGAGTGCAGTGGCGTGATCTCGGCTCACTGCAAGCTCCACCTCCCAGGTTCACGCCATTCTCCTGCCCCAGCCTCCTGCGTAGCTGGGACTACAGGTGCCCGCCACCACGCCCAGCTAATGTTTTGTATTTTTAGTAGAGACGGGGTTTCACCAGGTTGGCCAGGCTGGTCTTGAACTCCTGACCTTAGGTGATCCACCTGCCTCGGCCTCCCAAAGTGATGGATTACAGGCGTGAGCCACTGTACCTGGCTGCACATTGCCATTCCTTAAACACATCAAGCACTCTCTCATCTCAGGGACTTTGCACTTACTGTTCCCGCTTCCTAAACACCCTTTCCCTCAAATATCCACATGACTCCTTCCCTCCTGCTTCAGGTCATTTCTCATGTGTGGCCTTGCCAGAGAGGCCTTCCCTATAGGTGCCTACCCTCCAGCTCTCTCTACCCCTGACTCTGCTCTATATTTATTCATAGAATTTATTACCATGAGATTACAGGCGTGAGCCACTGCGTCCGGCCTGGCAGGCATAAAAAGCACCTGTAATCCCAGCTACTTGGGAGGCCGAGATAGGAGAATCACTTGAACCTGGGAGGCGGAGGTTGCAGTGAGCCGAGATCACGCGATTGCGCTCCAGCCTGGGCAACAGAGAGAGACTCTGTCTCAAAAAAAAAAAAAAGAAAAAAAAAGTTATTGTGAGAAAGTGTCCACAGGTTTTATTTCACTAAGGAGTCCAAAGCACAAAAATTGTTGGAGAATGACAATTATCTTGCTTAAAAGAAAATGAAGTCTGTCTCTCCAAACACCCATCACATATAACACATCAAAAGTAAAAGTCTCTTAACAATCCTTCTGTTTATTATCTCTCCAAGTCTTGCTCTCCTCCAGCATTTCCTATTAAATGTTGATGCCTTGATGCCTTACCCTATCCGCAGAGCCAATCAAATGCTAACCCCTGTGAATTGTTCCTCCTCAATATTTCTTGAATCTGCTCACTTCTCTACATTTCCACTGGCGTCACAATAAGCCACCATTCACCCCTTCCCGGGAGAATCACTGTGACCTCCCTGAAATCCGCTCTTCCCATAGTACTGCCCATTCATCTCCCTGAATCCCTGACATTTGAGCAGAGACCTGTAGGAGGTGAGGGAGCAAGTTAAGCAGATGGTGAGAAATCCAGTAGAGGAATTGTAGTCCAGGCAGAGGGAATAGCAGGTGCAAGGACCCTGAGGAGAGAGTCTACCCAGAGATTGGACAGACACCAGGAAAGCCAGTATGAATGGGGAGAAATGAGTATCAGAAGGGAGGGTGGAGTAAACAGTAAGAAGATAGGGACATAGGGGAGGATAGATGGATCATTTTGGGCATTATAAGCTTTCTTTCTTTCTTTCTTTCTTTCTTTCTTTTTTTTTTTTTTTTTTTTTTGATGGAGTCTTGCTCTGTCACCCAGGCCGGAGTGCAGTGGCATAATCTCAGCTCACTGCAACCTCTGCCTCCTGGGTTCAAGCAATTCTCCTGCCTCAGCCTCCCGAGTAGCTGGTATTACAGGCACCCAACCACTGTGCCCGGCTAATTTTTGTATTTTTAGTAGAGACGAGATTTCACCATCTTGGCCAGGCTGGTCTCAAACTCCTGACCTTGTGATCCACCCGCCTTGGCCTCCCAAAGTGCTGGGATTACAGACATAAGCCACTGCACCTGGCCTATAAGCCACTTTTTAAGGACTTTGGCTGTTACTCAGAATGAGATGGGAGCCATTGGAAGGTTTCAAGCAAGGGGGTAATATGATTCAACTTTTTGTTTTTGTGTTGAGAATAGACTACAGGTGGGCAAGTTGTGGTATCAGGGAGGCAAATTAGGAAGACTAGATTGCAAAAATCTAGTGGCCCATGGTAGTAACAGAAGTAGCGAGAAGTGGTTGGATTCTGTAAATATTTTGAAGATAGAGCCAACAGGATTTCCTGATAGATTAAATGTGGGGTGAGAAAGAGTCAAATGTGATGCCTGGGTTTTTGGCTTGTGCAACCAGTAAACTTGAGTTGCCATTTACTGAGATATTAACCACTGTTAACAAAAATGCCTATCTTTCTACATTTGTTTTTTCAATGCACAGAGCCTCTAGCTGCATCCATATTGCTACAAAGAACATAATTTCATTCTTTTTATGTCTGTGTAGTATTCCATGGTGTACACGTATCACATTTTTAAAAATCCAACCCACTGTTGGTGGGCACCTAGGTTGATTCCATGTCTTTGTTATTGTGAATAGTGCTGTGATGAACACGTGAGTGCATGTGTTTTTTGTTTTCTTTTGGATATATACCCAGTAATGGAATTGCTGCATCAAATTGCTGCCAAAAAAAAAAAAAAAATCTGTTTTAAGTTATTTGAGAAATCTCCAAACTGCTTTCCAGAGTGGCTGAACTAGTTTGTATTTCCAACCAATAGTAAATCAACATTCCCTTTTCTCCACAGCCTCCCCAGCATGTTATTTTTTTACTTTTTAATAATCATCATTCTGACTGGTGTGAGATGGTATCTCATTGTGGTTTCAATTTGCATTGCTCTGATGATTAGTGATGTTGAGCATTTTTCCATATGTCTGTCGGCTGCTTGTACAGCTTCTTTTGAGACGTGTCCATTCATGTCCTTTGCCCATTTTTTAATGGGATTACTTGGTTTTTGCTTGTTGATTTGTTTAAGTTCCTTATAGATTCTGGATATTACCTTTGTCAAATGCATAGTTTGCTAATATTTTCTCCCATTCTGTAGGCTGTTTACTCTGTTGGTAATTTCTTTTGCTGTGCAGACACTGTTTAGTTTAATTAGGTCTCACTTGTCATTTTTGGTTTTGTTGCAATTGCTTTCGGATACTTGGCCACAAATTCTTTGCCAAAACTGATGTCAAGAAAGGTATTTTCTAGGTTTTCTTTCAGGATTTTTATAGCTTGAGGTCTTACATTTCAGCCTTTAAACCATCTTGCGTTAATTTTTGTATATGGTGAGAGGTAAGAGTCCAGTTTCGTTCTTTTGCATATAGCTAGCCAGTTATCCCAGCGCCATTTATTGAATAAGGAGTACTTTTCCCATTGCTTATTTTTGTCAACTTTTTCAAAGATCTTTTGGTTGTAGGTGTGTGGATTTATTTCAGGGTACTCTATTCTGTTCCATTGGTCTATATGTTTGTTTTTGTACTAGTACCATGCTGTTTTAGTTACTGTAGCCTTATGGTGTAGTTTGAAGTCCAGTAATGTGATACCTCTGGCTTTGTTCTTTTTGCTTAGGATTGCTTTGGCTATTCAGGCTCTTTTTTAGTTCCAAATGAATTTTAGAATAGATTTTTATAACTGTATGAAAAATGACATTGGTATTTTGATAGGGATAGCACTGAATCTGTAAATTGCTTTGGGCAGTATGGCTATTTTAACAATATTGATTCTTCCAATCCATAAGCATGGAATATTTTTTCCATTTATTTGTGTCATCTCTGATTTCTCTCAGCAGTGTTTTGTAGTTCTCCTTGTAGAGATCTTTCACCTCCTTGGTTAGATAAATCTTTACATATTTCATTTTTTGATGATTCTTGTAAAAGGGTTGTGTTCTTGATTTGGGTCTCAGCTAGGACATTACTGGTGTATAGAAATGCTACTAATTTTTGTACATTCATTTTGTATCCTGAAACTTACTGAAATTTTTTATCAGTTCCAGAGGCCTTTTGGCAGGATGTTTAGGACTTTCAATGTATAGAATCATATCATCAGCAAGAAGAGATAGTTTGACTTTTCCTTTTTTGTTTGGATGCCTTTTATTTCTTTCTCTTGCCTGATTGCTCTGGCTAGAATGCCCAGCACTGCGTTGAATAGGAGTGGTAGGAATGGGCATCTTTGTCTTGTTGCAGTTATCAAAGGGAATGGTTCCAGCTTTTGCCTGTTCGGTATGATGTTGGCTGTGGGGTTGTCATAAATGGCTTTTACTACTTTGAGGTATGTTCCTCTGATGCCTAGTCTGTTGATGCCTAGTCTGTTTTACCATGAAGGGATGTTAGGTTTTATCAAAATCTGACATTTTATCAAAATCTAACATCTGCATCTGTGAAGATGTTCATGTGGTCTTTGGTTTTTATTCTGTTTATATGGTGAATCACATTTATTGACTTGTGTATGTTGAACAAACCTTGCGTCTCAAGAATAAAGCCTATTTGATCATTGTGAATTAACTTTTTGATGTGCTGCTGGATTTGGCTTGCTAGTAGTTTGTTGAGAATTTTTGTGTCTATGTTCACCAGGGATATTGACCTGAAGTTTTCTTTTTTGTTGTGTTTCTGCCAGATTTTGGTATCAAGATGATGCTGGCTTCATACAATGAGTTAGGGAGAAGCCCCTCTTCCTCAATTTTTTTGGAATAGTTTTAGTATGATTGGTTTCAATTCTTCTTTGTACATCTGGTAGAATTTGACTACGAATCCATCTGGTCCAGGACTCTTTTTGGTTGGTAAGTTTATTTTTGTTTTTTATTTTTATATGATGATGATGATGATGATGATGATCATTATTATTATTATTAGAGATGGTGTATTGCTTCATCACCCAGCCTGGAGTGCAGTTGTGCAATCTCGGCTCACTGCAACCTCTACCTCCTGGGTTCAAGTGATTCTCCTGCCTCAGCCTTCCCAGTAGCTGAGACTACAGGTGCACGCCACCACACCTGGCTAATTTCTTTGAATTTTTAGTAGAGACGGGGGTTTCACCAGGTTGGCCAGGCTGGTCTCGAACTCCTGACCTCAGGTCATCTGCCCACCTTGGCCTCCCAAAATGCTGGGATTACAGATGTGAGCCACTGAGCCCAGCCAGTAAGTTTTTTTAATACTAATTCAATTTCTAAACTGGTATTGGTCTGTTCAGATTTTCACTTTCCCCCTGGTTCAATCTTGGGAGGTTGTGTGCTTCCAGGAATTTATCCATTGTTTCTATATTTTCTAATTTGTATGTGTAGGGGTGTTCATAATAGTCTCTAAGGATCTTTTGTATTTCTATGAGATCGATTGTAATGTCATCTTTGTCATTCCTGATTACACTTATTTGGATCTTCTCTCTTTTTTTTCTTTGTTAATCTAGATAGTGGTCTACCACTTTTGTTTATTCTTTTAAAGAACAAATTCTTAGTTTCACTGATCCTTAGTATTGACTTTTGGTTCTCAATTTCATTTGGTTCTTCTGTGATTTTAGTTATTTCTTTTCTTCTACTGGCTTTGGGGTTAGATACTTCTTTTTTTTTTCTAGTTCCTCTCAGTGCAATGTTAGATTGTTAATTTGAGATATTTCTAATCTCTTGATGAAAGTATTTAGTGCTTCAAACTGCTTTAGCTGCATCCCAAAGGTTTTTCTAAGTTGTGCCTCTATTTTCATTAATTTCTAATTTTTTTTATTATCACCTTAATTTTGTTGTTCACCCGAGTTATGCAGAAGCAAGTTGGTTCATTTTCCTGTTTTTGTGTAGTTTTGAGAGATAATCTTGCTATTTATTTCTATGTTTATTGCACTGTGGTCTGAGAGTGTGCCTGCTATGAGTTCTATTAGATTGGTGCAAAAGTAATTACGGTTTTTTACCATTAAAAGTAATGGCAAAAACTGCAATTACTTTTGCACCAACCATCTAATACTTTTGGAATTTATTGAGACTTGCTTTATGGCTGAGCTAGTGGTCAATCTTAAAATGCATCTCATGTGCTGATAAGAATGTGTATTCTGTGGTTGTTGGGTGAAGTATTCTATAGATGTCTCTTAAGTCAAATTCATCAAATGTTGAGTTTAAGTCAAGAATTTCTTTGTTAGTTTTCTGCCTCAATGATCTGTCTAACACTGTTAATGGGGTGTTGAAGTTCCCCGCTATTATTTTGTGGCTGTCTAAGTCTTTTTTATGTCAAGAAGAACTGGTTTTATGAATCTGGGTGGGCTCCAGTGTTGTGTGCATATTTATTTAGGATAGGTAAGTCTTCTTGTTGAATTGAATCCTTTATAATTATGTCATGCACTTCTTTACCCTTCCTGATTGTTGTTGGTGTAAAGTTTGTTTTATCTGATGTAAAAATAGTGACTCTTGTGCTTTTTCATTTTCCATTTGCATGGTAGATCTTTCTCCATCCCTTTACTTTGAGCCTGTGTGTGCCATTACATGTAAGATGCATCTCTTGAAGACAGCAGATATTTGGGTCTTGTCTTTTTATCCAGCTTGCCACTCTGTGCTTTTTAACTGGGGCATTTAGACCATTTACATTCAGGGTTAGTATTGATAGATGAGATTTTTATTCCATCATCATGTTGTTGGCTGTTTGTTTTCTACTCTTGATTGTGTAATTGCTTTAGATTGTCTATGGGCTATGTGTTTGAGCGTGTTTTGGGGGTAGCAGGTGTTGATCATTTGTTTCCATGTTTAGCACTCCCTTAAGGACTTCTTGTAAGTCTGGTCTGGTGGTAACAAATTTTCTTAGTGCTTGCTTGTCTAAGGAGGTTTTTATTTCTCCTTTGCCTATGAAGCTTGGTTTGGTAGGATATGAGATTCTTGGTTGGAATTTCTTTCCTTTAAGAATGCTGAAAAAAGGCCCCCAATCTCTTCTGGTTTGTAAGGTTTCTGCTGAGAGGTCTGCTGCTAGCCTGATGGAGTTCCCTTTGTAGGTGACATGACCTTTCTCTCTAGCTGCCTTTAAGACTTTTTATTTTGCAATGACTGTGTATTTTTGGTGTGGTCATCTTGTATAGTATCTTACAGGGGTTCTCTGTATTTCTTGAATTTGTATGTCTTCTTCTCTAACAGGATTGGGGAAATTTTCATGGACTATATTCTCAAACATATTTTCCAAGTTGCTTATTCTCTCTCCTTCTCTTTCAGGAATGCCAATGAGTCACAGACTTAGTCTCTTTACATAGTACTATTATATATTTCTCAGGGGTTTTGTTCACTTTTAAAAATTCTTTTTTCCTTCTTTTTTCTGACTGAGTTGATTGGAAGAACCAGTCTTCAAGCACTGAGCTTGATCTGTTCTGCTCTTAAGGCTTTGATTGTATTATGTAATTCTTGAAGTGCGTTATTCAGTTCAAGAAGTTCAGTTTGGTTGTTTCTTAAAATGGCTATTTCATCTTTCAGCTCCTGGATCATTTAACTGGATTCCTTGGATTAGATTTCAGCTTTCTCCTGGATCTCAATGAGCTTCCTTGCCATTCAGATTCTGAATTCTGTCTGTCATTTCAGTCATCTCAATCTGGATAAGAACCATTTCTGGGGAACTAGTGTGTTTTTTGGAGGTAAGGGGACACACTTACTCTGGCATTTTGAGTTGCCAGAGCTCTTGTGCTGATTCTTTCTCATGTTTGAGGGCTAATATTCATTTAACTGTGATGTAAGTTGAAAGTAGTCAGTTGGCTTCACTTCTGGGTGTTTTCAGAAGGCCACGACCATACAGAATCTTTATTTGTGGCTGCATTTTTGCCTTAGGTTTCACAGGTGCTGTATACTGGCAGGGTATTTTGGTGTTGCATTTTGGGCTGCAGTCCAGTAGGTGGTGCTTAAAAGTGTTGGCCTGTAGATAGGCTCTCAGCAACAGGGTTCTTTTATATTTTGGCACAGTTGGCAGTAGTGCTCTGTGGTGAGGGGAGAAAAGAGGACCCCCTCACCTTGTCTGCTCCTGGGCCTTGGAGGAGCACCTCTGATCACTGACTCCATGCCTGCATTTCCTTTGTTAGGTGTTCTGGTCTGCAGGGCTCCCTCATGCAAGAGCCACAGCTAGCAGACAGGTCATACCCTTCCCAGGCCAGCCCTGTGGAGGGAGACACACCCTGCTCCCCAACCAGCCCATTAACTCAGGGGTATCACCCCTCTCAGTTTTCTGAGAGTGAGGGCACCCTCGCTGCTTGGGTGCTGCCCAAGCTGGCAAGTCTCGACCAGCTAGGAACAGCAGAGACGGGTGGAATCACCCAATCTGCCATCTTCATGCCTCCTCGGGGCACGCAGAGCTGTGCTTGCCAGCAGAATTCAGATAGGGGTGGGTTTGCTGTGTTGGAATCCCTAACTGGTGTGTCTCGCCTGGCTAGGAGGAGCCAGGGTAGGTGGAATCACCCAATCCACCATCCAGGTGCTTCCCGGGAAATCATGGGGCTGTGCCTGCCAGCAGAGTTCAGGCAGAAGCAGGCCTACTGTGCTGTTAGCCCCAGCAGGCATGGCCTTCCCGGCGGAGGGAACAGTGTGGATGGGTGGAGTCGTCTGATCCACCGTCAGGGTGCTTCCTGGGGGAACACAGAGCGGTGTATCTCAGCATAGTTCAGGCAGAAGTGGGGCCGCTGTGCTAGAAGATGGTGCCGAGCCTTATCTGGTGAGGGGGAGTGGAGCAATCTTACTGCTCCCGGGCACCACAGCCGCGGCCTCTTTTGGGGATATGGCAGCCGAGACTGGGCTGCTCCAGGGTCTAAGGCTTGTGGAGGCCCCTGTGGACTTGAGTGTTTGCCTCCACAAAAACTCTGGGTGGCTCTCTGTATCAGTGTAGAAGCCCGGGTTGGGGGTTGGAGGAATTTTTCCATTCCCAGGATTGAATAGGTTCCTGTGGGAATTGTGGATCCCCAGGAGGCTTTCACTCACTCTCCCTTTCCTGGTGGTGGGAACTTCTCCTGGCTGCGCTGACCCCAGATGGGCTGCGACCTAGCTTTGCTCTTTTCTGTTCTCAGTGTCCCCTTGCTCCCTTGATGGATCCCAACGTGGTTTCTTAGACGACTGGCTTGCAGGGTCAGTGTTTACTTGCCACTTTTTTTCCTCTCTGTGACAGCTGCACACACTAGCTGCTTCTAGTCCACCATCCTGACCCGCTTCTGATGTGAAACGTGAACATGAATGACTCCATTTTGGTTTGGTCTGCTGGAGCCTAGTATAGGAGCTCAGTCCAAATCAATGGCCGCCCATAAATTTTATTTAACAGGCTGTACAGCAAGTGGTGAGTGGTGGGCAAGCGAGTGAAGTTTCATCTGTATTTACAGCCACTCCCTGTCACTCATATTACCACCTGAGTTCCACCGCCTGTCAGATCAGTTAGGGCATTTGATTCTGATAGGAGCATGAAACCTTTTGTGAACTGAGCATGCGAGGGATCTAGGTTGCATGCTCTTTATGAGAACCTAATGCCTGATGATCTGCCACTATCTCCCATCACCCTCAAACGGAACCATCTAGTTGCAGGAAAACAAACTCACAGCTCCCACTGATTCTACATTAAGGTGAGCTGTATAATTATTTCATTATATATTACAATGTAATAATATAAATAAAGTGCACAATAAATGTTATGCATTTGAATTATCCCGAAACCATCTCCCCCACCCCAGTCCGTAGAAAAATTGTATTCCACAAAACTGGTGCCAAAAAGTTTGGGAACTGCTGGTGTAGGACATGTTACCCATCTTTAATCTTCATCTTCAAAATATTCATGAGGATTTTAATTAATTTATTTTCTCAGAGGAACTTCAAAATGCACTTTTCAAGGGTCAAATCAAGCTTCTTGTGGTTTGGATTGGGATTGAATTTACCGGGGAGAATGGTTGTATTAAAAATATTGAATCTCCCATCCAAGTACTAACCAGGCCCACTCCTGCTTAGTCCTATGATCAGAAGAGATCAGGTGTGTTCAGGGTGGTATGACCATTTGTCCGTTCTTGTATTTAAACTGTATCTCCTGTAGCTATCATATACTTGAGTCTTGATTTTTTTTTTTAGATGGGATTTCGCTCTTGCTGCCCAGGCTGGGGTGCAATGGTGCCATCTCGGTTCACTGCAACCTTCGCCTCCCAGGTTCCAGCGATTCTCCTGCCTCAGCCTCCCAAGTAGTTGGGATTACAGGCACGCACCACCACGCCTGGTTAATTTTGTATTTTTAGTAGAGACGGGGTTTCACCATATTGGTCATGCTGGTCTTGAACTCCTTACCTCAGGTGATCCACCCGCCTTGGCCTCCCAAAGTACTGGGATTATAGGTGTGAGCCACTGCACCCTGTCAAGTCTTGAGTTTTTTATCCCATCTGAAAATCTATCTTTTAAATAAAGTGTTTAGTCCATATTCATTTAAAATAAAATAAAATATTGAATTGAATCTCCTCATACAGGGATATATTTCTCAATCTATTCTTCTTTTAAATTCAATATATTTGCATCCTAGATTTTTTCCTGTTTTTCTTTTCTTTTTTTTTTTTTCGAGACTGGCTGCTCTGTCATGCAGGCTGGAGGGCAGTGGTGTGATCTCGGCTCACTGTGGCCTCCACCTCCAGGTTCAAGTGATTATTCTGCCTCAGCCTCTCGAGTAGTTGGGATTATAGGCATATGTCACCATGTCCAGATAATTTTTGTATTTGTAGTAGAGATGGGGTTTCACTATGTTGGCCAGGCTGGTGTCGAACTCCTGGCCTCTGCCCGTCTTGGCGTCCCAAAGTGCTGGGATAATCTAGGCATGAGCCGCCATGTCCGGCCTGCATCCTATATATTTTTTGGTAAGTTTATTCCTAGGTGTTTTATGGGTTGTTATTGTGAATAGAGTTTTTTCGCATAATTTTTTCTTACCAATTATATAGCTAAAGGAAAGCTACTGCATAAATGAGATTGGTCTGTATGTGAGTGCTGTTGTTATGCTAAACTTCAAGTTTTGCATTATGCCAGCCTTGCGTAGTAGATGTGTTTATCACTGCTAGCCTACCTATAACCTCTACTCAGTCTATATGTACACACTGTATAACCTGATTTTTAAAAAATATATATTGCTCTAACACTTGGACATCTGATCTTTGCATTGGTCTAATATATTTATAAATTGACTATCTTCAGACTCCTATGTTCTAGACTATCTGATCTGCAAATGATGATAAACTTGCATCTTCCTTTCTGACAGTATGCCTTTTATTTATTTTTCTTATCTTATGGCATTGACTAAAACATTCAAGATAATTTTTTTTTTTTTTTTTAGACGGAGTCTCACTCTGTCGCTAGGCTGTAGTGCAGTGGCACGGTCTTGGCTCACTGCAACCTCCACCTCCTGGGTTCAAGTGATTCTCCTGCCTCAGCCTCCCGAGTAGCTGGGACTATAGGCCTGTGCCACCATACCCAGCTAATTTTTTTTGTATTTTTAATAGAGATGGGGTTTCACCATGTTGGCCAGGATGGTCTCAATCTCCTGACCTCATGATCTGCCCGCCTCAGCCTCCCAAAGTATTGGGATTACAGGCGTGAGCCACCACGCCCAGCCTCAAGAAGATTTTAAAAATTGCAAAGATAATAGCTATTCCTGTCTTATTTGTAAATTTAACAGAAATAGCTTTAATCTTATATTTCAATCTTAAGTACAATGTATGTTGTTCATTTCTGGTACAAAAATTTGATGATATTAAGGTAGTTGTCTTCTCCTAGTTTACTAAAAGTTTGAGTCTGGAATTAATATTTAATTTTATAAGATTTATTTTTTCATCCAGAGTGACGATTATTTAATTTTTTCCTTTAATTTGTTGATGTATACCAATTAACATAATATGAAACCTTTCTTACTTTTCCTTGAGCATTCTCACTTTTGTTCCTGGGCTCCTGGCTATTCCAGCCCCTGCCTTTCTAGTGAAGCATACTCTGTTACCTGCCCACTGCTGTTATCCATTCCATTTCTATTTATTGTTTTCCAGTACATAGTGTTACTGGATGAAAAGTTCATTTTTACTTAACTTTGTATGAAATTCTTCCCCTAGATATTAACATAGCTCCTCCGCTCACCTCCTTCAAATCTTCACTCAAATGTAACCTGCTCAGTGAGGACTTTCCTGACAAACTCTTTAAGTTGCAGTCTTCTCATCGCCTCCATCCCATTGCTTTACTTTCTTCTAAAACACTTATCATATCCTAACACACTGTGTAACTTATTTTATTTCATGTACTCCTCCACCAGGCTATAAGCTTCAAGAGAGTCAAGCTTTTTCTCCCTTAATTTTGTCCTTCCCATGAGAACAAAAGCCTGGCTCTAAGCTTCAGCACCCCTAAATCTTAAAGATGTCTCTGATTAATCATCTAGACCAAAGGGTATGTCAGCAGGGAGACTGTAAAGGGAATCAATTTTCAGATCCTTATCTTCCAGAGGAACTCCTTCTCAAAACCAGTGTGCCACAGATTATGCCTGTGTTCACATTAGCCATTATTCTACCTTTTAAAATAAAGGCACATGTCTCACCCATCCCAAGTCTTTGAATGGAGCATTTCTAAGTATAAAATCCTCCAAGGAACCAAACAAAGAGGTAGACCCCTTTAATGACTAATCAAGACATAATAAACCCTTAGAGCTTCTTGTCTTTCCCTGTTCTATATTCATTTCGAGTCAGAGTAAAGCTGTATTATAAGCAGAGCTTTCTTTCTTTTTTTTTTTTTCAAGACAAAGTCTCTTTCTGTTGTTGCCCAAGCTGGAGTGCAATGGTGCAATCACGGCTCACTGCAACCTCTGCCTCGCAGAGAATTGTTCAAGCAATTCTCCCACCTCAGCCTCCCGCATAACTGGGATTACATGCACCTGCAATCATGCCCAGCTCATTTTTGTGTTTTTGTAGAGATGGGGTTTCTCCATTTTGTCCAGGCTGGTCTTGAACTCCTGACCTCAGGTGATCCACCCGCCTCAGCCTCCCAAAGTGCTGAGATTACAGGCCTGAGCCACCGCGCCCGGCCAAGCAGAGCATTTTGACCTAGGGATTGTGCTATGTAGTAGTTGAGTAGTGAGAGTAATGAAAATTCTCATTTACAAACTTTGCCTCTTCTGTCTTCTGTCTGCTGATCCCCCCTACAAAAGGCATTACACTGGAAGAGTGCCGCAAAAACAAAACAGAGTCAATGAGATATATTAAGTGCTTTTTTCAAAAAAGCCCCTTCTCACATACTTAAGCAATTATTTTCAGCCATTGTTAATATTTGTTTCTGGGATTTGTAATTATTTGCAAATAAAAGCACTTCAAAAATGCCAAAGCTGAATAGGTTAGTATATTACTTACCTATTGCTACACAACAAATTACTACAAACTTAGCAGCTTAAAATAACAAACATTTATTATTTCAGTTTCTATGGGTCAGGAGCTACAGTTTAGCTGAGTCTTCTGCTTAGGGTCTCACAAGATTGCAATCAAAGTCTTAGTTGGGCTGCATTCTCATCTGGAAATTTGACTGGAGAAAGATCCACTTCCAATCTCACTCAGGTTATTGACAGAATTTATTTCCTGGCAGTTTTAAGGCTGAGGGCCTTGGCTGCTTGCTGTCTGTCTGCTAGGTGGGACCAGGATCAGATCCTAGAGGCCACCAGTAGTTCCTTGCCTCATATGTGCGCTTCCTCAATGTGGCCAATTACTTCTACAAGCCAGCAGGGAGAGGCTCTAGCAAGACAGTGAGTTTCCTAGCAAGATAGAGTCTTCTGTAACATCAAGTAATCCCAGAATCACTTCCCATCACCTTTGCTGTATTCTACTAATTAGAACCCAAGAGAAGGAATTGCACAAGGCGTGGACCTCAGGTGGCAAGGATCCTGTGGAGTCACCTCAGACACTGTCTACCACAATTAGTAACTGACTCTTAATGTAACTGAGATATTTTCTTGAGCTACCAAGTTTTTCAAGATTTAGTGAATAAAAATTATTTATAAAACTTTACAAAGCTTTTAAAGAATTGGTGTATAGGGCTCAATATGGAGTCATAATTTACTTTTAGCTAATCATACAATAAAATACTTACTGCAATTATAATCCTTATCTTATTTCATCTTATTAAATGTTTAGTATTTTCTATCTCTTCTTAAAAACACATATATGAGGCCGAGTGCAGTGGCTCACGCCTGTAATCCCAGCACTTTGGGAGGCCGAGGCAGGCGGATCACCTGAGGTTGGGAGTTTGAGACCACCCTGACCAACACGGAGAAACCCTGTCTCCACTAAAAATACAAAATTAGCTGGGCATGGTTGTGCATGCCTATAATCCCAGCTACTCAGGAGGCTGAGGCAGAAGAATTGCTTGAACCTGGGAGGCAGAGGTTGCAGTTAGCCGAGATCACACCATTGCACTCCAGTCTGGGCAACAAGAGAGAAACTCCATTTAAAAAAAAATATACACACACACACACACACACACACACACACACACACACACGTTAGCTGGAGAACTGATTATTTTTATAGTGCTGTTTATATTTCTTTTTCTTTAAATGTATGGATTTCTGAAAACCTCGATCATAATGTCTAAAATAATTAATGGAGTAATTCTAATTTTATATATGATCCTTACTTAGTTAATCCCAAAGGCTGAACATAGCATCTGGACATACTTTCTATCATACTTTCTTTCTCATAAGTAAGTAATATTTTAAGCTACAAATTATACTGCATCATTGTAAATTAAGTAATGAAAAATAGTATTTTGATTTATTACTTTTTTTAATACTTTCAGTTATGGGATACCTGTGCAGAATGTGCAGGTTTGTTACATAGGTATACACGTGCCATGGTGGTTTGCTGCACCCTTCAGCCCCCCATCTACATTAGGTATTTCTCCTAATGCTATCCCTTCCCTAGCCCCCCACACCCTGAGAGGCCCCAGTATGTGATGTTCCCTTCCCTGTGTCCATGTGCTCTCATTGTTCACCTCCCACTTATGAGTGCGAACATGAGGTGTTTGGTTTTCTGTTCCTGTGTTAGTATGCTGAGAATGATGGTTTCCAGCTTCACCCATGTCCCTGCAAAGGACAAGAACTCATCCTTTTTTACGGCTGCATAGTATTCCATGGTGTATATGGGCCACATTTTCTTTATCCAGTCTATCATTGATAAGCATTTGTGTTGGTTCCAAGTCTTTGCTATTGTGAACAGTGCTCCAATAAACATACGTGTGCATGTGTCTTTATAGTAGAATGATTTATAATCCTTTGGGTATATACCCAGTAATGGGATTGCTGGGTCAAATGGTATTTCTGGTTCTAGATCCTTGAGGAATTGCCACACTGTCTTCCACAATGGTTGAACTAATTTACACTCCCACTAACAGTGTAAGGGCGTTCCTATTTCTCCACATCCTCTTCAGCATCTGTTGTTTCCTGATTTTTTTAATGATCACCATTCTAACTGGTATGAGATGGTATCTCATTGTGGTTTTGATTTGCGTTTCTCTAATGATCAGTGATGATGAGCTTCTTTTCATATGTTTGCTGGCTGCATAAATGTCTTCTTTTGAGAAGTGTCTGTTCATATCCTTCGCCCACTTTTTGATGGGGTTGGTTTTTTCTTGTAAGTTTGTTTAAGTTCTTTGTAGATTCTGGATATTAGCCCTTTGTCAGATGGGTAGATTGCAAAAATTTTCTCCCATTCTGTAGGTTGCCTGTTCACTCTTATGATAGTTTCTTTAGCTGTGCAAAAGCTCTTTTGTTTAATTAGATCCCATTTGTCAATTTTGGCTTTCGTTGCCATTGCTTTTGGTGTTGATTTATTACCTTTTTATAGCTTGTTAAAACATTGATGAATTAATTATGTTAAATTACATTACATCATTCAAATCTTGACTGCTTTTACTAATCTATCTTATAAAACGTGTTCTCTAACCTTTTTTGAGTAGTTTTTATACTTTCTTTGAAATGCATAACACATGTATTTAAATTGAAAAATGAGGCCAGAGTTTTTCTGATGGATACTGAGCATGATTAGGGCTGATGGGACTAACAAAGATGACTGGTTTGCCAGGTAGCCCCCTCCACTACCTGAATGAAGAAAATATTCAGCTCTAGGATTTAGATGACAATATGTTTAAGTAATGTAATAAGATAAAAGCAGTTTATAAAATATACTGCCTTGGCAAAGGCGCAGGAAATAAACAATATTTCAATTTTCCAAGTCCTCGTTGGGTGTATTGAGTTCATCAAGATATCTCAAAGCAAGAGAGCAATAAGTATAACTAATAATAATTTGTTAAGTCTTGGTAAAGCCTTTTTGTTATGTTTCCTAGAAATTTGAGAAAGTCAGCGTCTTGTGATGAGTGGGCAACAAATCATTTTCCAAGCCATGTGGCTTCCAGTTCATTTTTTTCATTAATTTGAAGAAGAACCTTGCTAAATTGCCAGATAATAAATGAGTTTAAATAATTATTTATCATTATTTTGGGTATATAATTCAGAAAGAGCTCAAAAGATTAAACTGCATCATTATTACATAACTCTTTCCATTTTTGCTATTTATTTATATGATTAATAATTTTTAGCAGTTTTTTTTTTTGAGATAGAGTTTTGCTCTCGTTGCCCAGGCTGGAGTGCAATGGCACAATCTTGGCTCACTGCAACCTCCACTTCCCAGGTTCAAGTTATTCTCCTGCCTCAGCCTCCCGAGTAGCTGGGATTACAGGCATGTGCCACCATACCTGGCTAATTGTGTATTTTTATAGAGACAGGGTTTCTCCGTGTTGGTCAGCCTGGTCTCAAACTCCCGACCTCAAGTGATCTGCTCTCCTCAGCCTCCCAAAGTGCTGGGATTACAGGCGTGAGCCACTGCGCCCAGCCGTTTTAGCACTTTTATCTATAAAAATGAAAAAGAGTAATAGAATTAACATAAAACTCTACTTCATTCCATCAATAAGTAATCATCATTTACAGATACAAAAACCAATTGGGGGGAGGGAAAAGCCAGTCATTTCAGTAAGAATTGAATTTTCAATAAAAATTTACATTTTATATTTACTATTTATCAAAATTTATTATCTTTATGTTATTTTGATTATGTACTAATAATGGTTATAGTAACTCAACCCAAACAAATATTTGTTAACCCTCAGAACCTTAGGTTACTGTGAAGAAGACAGTTTTAAAATTTGATTTTCTAAACTTTTTTCACAGAGAAGTAGGACAGATTACATAAGATGCTTTCATGCTTAAACGTGTATTACATGAGGGTTAAATTTTGTGGAAGAATCAAAACGAAATATGAGCTCAAAGAGGAATAAAGAAATACACAACAAATTCTACCATTTTAAAAAAACTTGTTCATGAATATATAAAGATGTCATAGGGGATATAATCATAATAGTATTTAGATTTCACTGGACACTTTTAAAAGAGTGATGGAACAGTTTTATTTTAGAATGTTAATAAATTATGAAATGTCAAAAATTATATTTTATAATTATTTAAATTTAAGATGAAAAACTTTAGATGCTAACTTAAAAATGTGTGACATGACTCATAGTTTTTCAAAATTAATTTGGAAGGTTTTTTTAATGAAAAACTGTAAGACTAATGTTCTCTACAACCACCAAGTGCTGAGAGCTGCTGCTTCCCCCAAGCTCCAAAAGCCCTCTCTGGGATCTTTGGGACCCAAAAGGCTTCCTGGGATCTTGATGGGATCCCTGCCAGCCACCTGGCTTAGAAATCTGTTGACCACACCTTGTGAATTCCAGGCCAACTGCAAAAGGGAGAAGACCACCCAAGCCAGTTTTCTCTTTTCCAGTCAGAGGGAGCATCTGCTCTCTCCCTGTTTTCCAGTAACTCATGTTGCTCAGCTGGCACTGATGGCACCCAGGTACCCTGGCGAGAGCAGGGCATGGACCAGGACCCAGGAAAACTGGCCTCCTGCGCAGGTACCAAAATCTCAGACATGGCAGGGAAAAGATAAAGATCCACTTACTAAAACCTGGGCAAAAGGCAAGGATTTTGTTTCAGAGAAATGAAAGGGATTTGTTACTAGAACTAGAACTATAAGATCAAAAGGTCATGATGCAAAATAACCATGATAAATGCATGGGGCTCCTGGAATTTTATTTGGCTAAGAACAGGAGTTTTCCTCAGTACCTGGGGAAGCAGAAAGCGTGCAGACAAGGCTGAGAGATCCTCATCTGACTAAATAGTCTAAAGGACTTCAAGCCCAAGACCTTCTGTCTCTAAAGCCTCCTGTTGAGTTGTGTCCCTCATAAAGATATGTTCAAGTTCTAACCTCCAGTACTGTGAATGTGACCTTATTTGGAAATAGGGTCTTTGCAGAGACATACACACACATAGAGGGAAGACAGCCATGCAAAGACTGAGGCAGAAAGTGGAGTGATGCAGCTACAAGCTACAAATACCAAGGATTGTAGGCAACCTTAGCATTCCTGAAACTAGAAGAGGCAAGGAAAGATTCTTCTTTAGAAACTTCAGAGGGATCACGGCCCTTCCAATACCTTGATTTCAGACTCTCATCCTCTGGAGCTGTGAAGGAATGAATTTCTGTTGTTTTTAGGTACCTGGTTTGTGAATAATTCATTACAGCAGCCCTAGGAAACTAATATACCTACCTACTGTGAGATTATAAGAAGTCTCAGGGGATCGGCCACTTTCCTACTGTTGGATTTTATGCAAGTTACTAACCTTTCTACAACTCAATTCAATTCAGCTAAACAAATATTTGTGTACTGCTTGTCACTGCACATTACATGTTTGCATGTTTTTCACAGTGGTGAAAAAGACAGACATAGCCAGCCCCGGACCCCCCAGAGCTCTAAGCTTAGAGACAAAAAGCTGGAGGTAGAACAAGAAATTAAAAGAAACAAAAAGGATGACTTTGTGTTTTAGCATCATGCTGGGTCATTATTTAACAGGTCTGCTCAAGGATTGTTTGATTCCAAGGAGAATGAAACTTTGTTTGACTTTGCTATTTGCTACCGGATCAGAGCCCCATTATGAAGTTACACGTTGATTTGTAGACTTCTGTCCGGTAGGAAAAAATAATACTAAAGGTTATAGTTTTACTATCTGTAGGACTTTAACAGTCTCTTGGGTTTTTTTTTTAAATTCCTTTCCTGATATACTACATAAGCACCTGTTCCTCAAATGCCCTTGGGTGCCAACTTTGCCAGTTTACTAGTTCCTTCATTCATCAATGAGTTGAGTATATTTTTGACATGTTCATTCAATTTTTGTATGAGAGTCATGTTTTTAACTTTTTGAAAATTGTACTTTGACACAGAGCTATTGTAAAGCTTAAGTGGTAAAATATTTAAAAGATTGATTTGGTTCCTGGGGTTCAGCAGGTATTGAATGAGTGTGAGTTCTCCTTTAGCAGCTGAAAAAAACCTGAGAGATTTGGGAGAAGCAACCTCTGAGAGACTTGATCCACTGCCAAGAAGCCAATGTACACTGACGCAGTTGTGTTGTGTGCCTTGTTTTGTTTCTTTATTCTCTTCCTATTCTTGTCTTTCTTATTCTTATCTGTTATTAAGACATACATTTTAACTCAAGAATTCACTCATGGTCCAGCCAATCACCCTTGTAGCTTCTTATTGATCTTCTTTAGTGACCTCTTGTTCATAAAAAAAGAGAGTCTCCTTTTACTTAGCATTCTTTTTCTTAATCTCTTGGACAAAACAATAGCTTTGTTTAAAGTTAGAAGGTAAAATTTATGCTAAATCCAGAATTGCTGATAACTTTGAAGATAAGTTTTGGCAATCTTTGCTACAGTGCAAAAGTAATAAAAATCCAAGCAAGATTTCTGCAAGTTAAAACAAAATTTTTTTTTAATGAAGAAATGATACTCTTGATTTCTAAGACACACAGGAACTTTAAGTACTTTCAATGAAGCTAAGGTACTGTTGACTTCACTGGGACACCATCATCCCTGAGCTTGTAAAGAAAATTTAGTAACTTTTTAAAAAACGTGACGCCCTTTTTCAGAAGTTAATATGACCTGAAACAGTGAAGAATTCAAGAATTTACAGCCCGGTATAAGAAACACAATGTATGGTCTCTGCAAAGACTGAAGTGGCTGGAGAGAAGAGGGGAAAGAAGCAGGCTCCTTGAGAAACCAGAACCTGTGAAATTTTTTAACTTTGAAGTCCAGAAACAGGACCACGTGTACAGGAAGAGCTCAGCAAGTGATTTTTGGGTAAGCAGATAACACAGACACTATACAGATAACATAGGCAAATATAATTCATGTAGCTAACATTTTCACAGAGGGAAAATTTTACTTCTTTTGCAAATTTAGTAACACATGTTTTCTAAATGCTTTTTTTTTCATACATAACACTTTGTTTATTCAGTCATCCATCGAAGGACATTTGGATTGCTTCCACCTCTTGGCTATTTCAAATAATACTGCTCTGAACATGGGTGTGCAAATCTTGAAATCCTGCTTTCTTTTTTTTATCAACTTCTATTTTAATCTCAGGGTACATGTGCAGGATGTGCAGGTTTGTTACATAGGTAAATGCGCCATGGTGGTTTGCTACACAGATCACCCCATCACCCAGGTATTAACCCTTTTAAAGTAAAATTTATAGTGTCATATCTATTATATATCTACATATTCATGATAGTAAATATTTAATTTTTTCCTATCTTTCCCCCAGTGCATTATTCCGTTCTTGATATAATAATTTAAAAAATATACGTATCCTATTCATAAGACCTTTGATGAAGATGCATCTCTGAATGCTACACATAGAAACTGGACCATGGTAATTGCTGCCACCTTGTGGGTTTGTGAAAGAAAGTCAAGAGTCTATTACCTCCCTAAACTCGGCATCCTTTCATTCAAGCATTCATGCATCCATTCATCCTTTCATGCCACATTTACTGTGTGCCAGGCCCTGGCTAGGCTCTGGGGACAAAAGACAAGTAAGACACAGTCTGTGTCCTCATGGTATGTAGTGCAGTCATCCAGACACAATATGTTGTTAAAATATTGTCACAGAAGAGAGTGCCCTTCTTGGTTGGAGGTAGTAGAGGAACCCAAAAGATTTTCCCAAAGGGGCATAATCCAAAGACTCATGAATAGCCAGGCTCTTTCCATTCTATGTGGCTTTCCGGCATGACAATAGTTTCCTGGACAGGATTTTCTTGCCTATTTCTGCTGTTTCTTTCCCACTAGTAGGAAAGACAAAGAAAGGCACAGTGCTGCCCAGCCTCAGCACCTCAGAGGGTGTGTGAATATCTTTCCTCTGCTTCTCCAGATCCTCTTTCCACCCCCATTTCTCCTGCTCTGTGCCCCAGAAGGCTAATCAATGTGAACCACCTCTATCTCTCTCTTGCACAATGACTTCCAGTTCCATTCGGACAATATTGGGGGTGAGAAGGCATGAGCAAGAGAGGAAGGAGCATTAGATCATAATATTTATGCCCAGATTCCCTCCCATGTACGCCATCAGGGGCCTACTGCATCCCTCAATATGAGGCCTCAGGTTATCCCTTCCCTTGTTTTTTCAGACCCAGAGGTGGTAATAGTGCCCAGCTGATGCTGGCCATAGGGTGCTACACTAATCCTTGTGGTCTTATATTCTGCTCATGCCTTTGTAAATAATCCGTTCAAATCATCTAAATTTGAGTGTGCCATTGGTTTCTTGCTTCCTGACTGATATGGAAGAAACAAATGAATAAATAATTGAATACATGTATTCTATGTAAATAAATGATTGAATTATTTTTAATGCCTTTTTAATTCTTATTTTATATTTTTGTGGATACATAGTAAGTGTATATATTTATGGAGTATATGAGATGTTTTGATATAGGCATGCAATGTGAAATAAGCACGTCATGGAGAATGGGGTATGAATGGTTGAGTTAAATAACTGGGTGAATTAAAGCATGAATGAATGAATGGGTATGGAGATGAATGTATGAAAACAGAATGCAGGCACATATAACATATATCTATTTCATGCATGAATAATTGCATAATAACTAAGCAAATGAATGACACCCATGTAAAAAACTGAATGGAAGCATGAATGAAGAATGAATTCATAAAAATGTGATTTAAGACCAGTTTTAATCAATTTCAATGCCTGACTTTACCGCCTCCCAGGCACCACATGCAAAGAAAAGGAATGGATGAGCTTCTCCCTAAAACAGAGCTGTTACGTGAAAATCTAGTCCAGAGAGGCGCTGAGAAGTTAACTTAGGAAAAATGTTTTGGGAAAAGACTAAGTTAAATTTTAAAGAGAAGGACAGAGAGTCATGGTAGAGCTTTCTATAGAGGAGCAGAACATAGAGATGGAATATAGGGAGTGGAAGGAATGAAGCTTCCTTTCTCTAGAGGGAAATTAACAATAGTTCACAGGCTCAGAGAAAGGCGCCGTGGAACAGGAACCCAGCCGGCAAATACTGCCATGAGGATCAATTGTCATGGATGGGAGAACTGGGAAGCATCTAAATGCTACATCTGGGTGCCAAAGTGGAATGAATCAATGAAATATTTTTTCTCAAGACTCAGATATCATCCATTAAGCTACTTGATCATGTTACAGAAAACACTTTCCAAGGGATCATGGTCATTAGCACAAGGTCACTGATCTCACTCACTTGTTCTAAACATGATGGCCTGGTCAAGATTCAGTGCTTCTGTATTCATGCCAAAACGTGCAGACGACGGAATTAGAAGCAATTTAAAAATCACGAAACACCACATGTCAATATGAGCCCTTGTTTTCTAGTTTACCTCTCCCCAAGCTCAAATTCCTATTTAATAATAAAAAAGAGATAATAGGACACATCTGTATTTACATGTGTAGTCCAGGAGGACACAATTCACATGCTAGAAACTTTAAATTCTGAAAAATATAAAAGAGATCATTCAGGAAAATGGATCATGACTTTTCCTTTGGAGAACTCATTTCTGGGGATTTTCTTAGGGAAATAATCACAAATATAAGAAGATGTAGGGGCAGGGATGTTCACTGAAACATTGTTTATCTAAATTTTTTTAAAAAGACAACTTAAATTTCTACTACTAGGAGACTGTAAAGCAATGGCTAATAATAGGTGACACCTGTCAGGCATTGATCAATGTATTCTCTCTCCTTTAATCTTCACAAGAGTCTTAAGTCACTATGTATGGCTATTATACCCATTTTAGAGGTAAGGAAACTGAGGTGCAGGGAATTCAATTTATTTTCACAAAGCTAGAAATTGGTGAACCTGGCATTTGAACTGAGACAATCTGGCCCAATGTCTAGCTAGGCTCATAAAATAATGTCATACTGTCCTTATATAGTCAAAATTCTTGACTATTGTCATTGATAAGGAAGGATGCCTACAGAAAACTGAGTTAATGAAGCAGGTTAAAGAAACAGCACATACAACCAGATCTCATGCATAGAAAACTATGAACACAAGCACAGACAGATATCTGGATGAATGGTCACCAAAATGGTAAAGGTGGTATTCTCTGGTGAGAATATTACTTTTTGGGGGAATTTTCTATATACATAGGATTTCTTACAATTTGTAGGTGTCATTTTAACAAAAATAATAAAGCTAATGCCAAAAAATCAAGCAAAATCTTGGTTGAGTGCTCATCTATTTCACACCTAGATGCATGCTATCTTTCATCCATTGCCGTAGGTACTGTAAATGGAGGCACCTTGATTGCTACTCTGGCTTTGCTGCAGACACTACACCATTTTGCCTTCGATGCTTAAGTGCTGTCTTCTAGCTGCTGCCATTCTGGAATCCCAAAATCCCCACTGACATCAGGGAACCCCATTTCATGAAAGCTTCTCTCACTCTCTGCAGGAAACAGGGACAATTCAGCCTGCAGAAAATAGCTATTACCAAGCTTTTCCAATAAATACTAGGGGCTTCTCATCAGTGCATTCCTTATTACCTCAGTACAGAGAGTGGTTGGCCCATTTGGAGAACACAGATTTTGAGTTCTTAGACCTTACATAATAAATCCATTCTAATATTTCCTATACCAAGAACCAATTTAATACCATGCCAAGGAAATTCTGGAAGCTCCACTTCATTTACTGTCATCCTTCATCATGTCCAGAGTTCAACAAGCCATCACAGAAAATTCCTAGAACTAATTATTCCAGGGTCCCTCCCAGGCGTTAAGTCCTGAGTCATGAGTGAGTATTCGTATGTCAATGAATTTCCTTTCTCCAGCCTGTTGTACACTTTTCCCACTGAAAAAACATCTTTGAGATAATATATTTTACCTTATTTTTTTCTGTGCATATTAGCAAGGTTCTGTAATTCCTTTGGTATGTAAGCCATTTATTCCAATAATAGGGCTTGTATTTCACTTCTAAGGCTGGGCTTTGAGTTGACTCTGGTTATAAGTCTGTAAAATAAGGGGCAGGGGAAGGGGGAATATTCTTGAGGGGAATCGTTGAGGAGAATCTGTGTCATCTTGTGAGGCACATGCTTCATGTAAAGCCATGGTACACTCTTCAGACAAGGGAAGACTTTTCTTCAGGGGAAAGAACTGTTTCTGACAGGTAATATGGCTCAGGGAAATCTGAAATTTAAGCATCTCAGAATCATCCACCAATATTTTCCTTATACCCAGTCTCAGGGTCACTTTTTTCCCCGATCAGGGCCCTGATTCTGATGTAGGAGTTTTGCTGAGGCCATGCATCTATCTAGTCTCCTTTGCAGTACTGCCACTTAATAATCAGATCTGAGCTGATTTTCAGCACAGTCTGCAGGAGATGAGCTGCCATAGAAACTTTCTGGCTTTCAAAGCATTCCTTGGGTTGGCAGTTAACTAACAAACCTATCATTTTCTTTTTCCAAGGCCTTCCATTTGGTTGTAAGAGATCATCCCACTGTACAATCCTAAAGATTAATGAGGACCCTATACTGATTTAGAGAAACAGGGGTTTGGTCTCAATACCTTACCCTCTATCTTTACCCAATCCCAATTAATCTTATATTAAAACCTTAGTAATGCATCAAATGTTAGTGCTACCCTGCTTACCTCCAGTGATGGGAATCCTTATTGCTTTCAGGTATGCAGTAATTCAATTTGCAGGTCCTTTCTTTTCCCCAGCCTGGATTTGTTGACTAAAGCACTCTTGACAGTCATGTGAAGTATCGCTAAGCCAAACCTTCCAGGTTTTGGAAGCCAGAGTGGATGGGTGTCAGGCAAACAATCCCAAAAAATTTACACATGCTCTCATACTCAGCTCCAGTCTTAGCCCTGTTGGTTGCACAAGAGGATAGAGATCTCTACCTCCTGAGGACACGCACAAGTAATTTACATATGGTGAAAGATGAATGACCAGGAAGTTTTCAAAAAGATGCCCACCCTCACTGGTATTCAGGAAAACAAAAAGTAAAATAACAATGAGATATAATTTTTTTCACACTTAAAATGGGGAAAAATGAAAAATATTGCTAATATTCAGTATTGGTAAGAATGCAGGCAAGGGACTGTCAAATACAGTTGATGAACATGTCAGTTGTCTATATCAATCATCAATCATGTATCACCAATCATGACACATGATTTTTGGAGATATAACATTTTTGGAGACCCATTTGGTAGTGTCTGTCAAAATTTTATGTGCCCGTGTCATTTGACCCAATGATGTCATTTCTAGAGATCTATTCTACAAAAATATAAGCAAATGTGAGAAATGCACACATACTAACATATAAATGCTTATCACAGCAATTGTTCTGAGAATGAAATATTGGAAGTACCTGAAAATCCACCAGTAAGGGAATAATTAAATAATTTACGGGATAGCCACACTGTGCAACCAGCAAATTTAACTACACTGAAGTGGAAAGGTGATTAATGAAACATCAACTCATGAGCAATATGTAGATCATAATCCTACTTATGCAGAATCACTATACATATTTATAAATGCACAAAAGATTTGATGGATACATCCTGAGTCATTAACAGCACTTTTTTCCAGAGAGGGAAATAGGATTGGAGGGGGGGATGTAGAAGGAGACTCTTACTTTTGCTATACATCTGTGTAGTATGAATTTTTACTGTGAGCATGTACTACTATATAATTTTTAAAATAATTGTAATCTGTGTTCATTCCCACCTTGCAAGATTTTATGATTGTACTAAGGAATCTACCTATATGTATCTGAATCTGTTAGAGGATGTAGGGAATTCATTATATTGGCCTTTAATAACATTCTGCTGTTCCATCATTCCAACTTGTTCCATCATTAATAATCCAATACTTATTAATGCTAAAGGAGAATTGCATGCTTTTGTTTTCTAATGTGAACAAAATAAACGATCGCATGCAATGCATTCATTTTCCCTAACAAACAGTTACTAAATGTCTTCTCTGTGCCAAGCATTTTGCTAGGGCTTGACTATACGTGGTCCCTGCACTAAACTAACTGGTGAGAAAATAGATTGTAATTAATAAACAAGCCAGCTATGGCCACATTCATCAAGACTGTGGTTTAATATTTTCCTGGCACAAGTCTGAAACTTTGCCTTCTCCTAGGCCAGGACTCAGGAAGGTCATTTAGATGTGGCAGGCAAAGACAGTGTCTCTTCCTATAGAAGCCTTTGCTGGATACTGGAATAGAACCCATTTAGAGGGTACAGTTAGGGGCAAGGGGGCACTGGGAAGAGCGAAAGCTTTGCAGCAGACACTTCTGTGCCTCCTGGGGCTCTGTATAATGCAGCCACCCTCCCTCTAATGAGCTGTGTATACTGTCCAGGACCATTTCTAATAATAGCTGCCTTGCACATTTTGTTTTGAGAATTGGAGATTATAGATATAGAAATAGATATATTGCAATATATAATAAAGTATTAATAAGTAAAAGTTAATACATCTGTTTTTGAGGCAGGATCTCACTCTGCTGCCCAGGCTGGAGTGTAGTGGCACAATCACAGCTCACTGAAGTCTGGGCTTGAGCGATACTCCACGCCCAACTAATTTTTTGGTAATAATAGTGACAAGGTCGCACTATTTTGCCCAGGGTGGTCTCAAATTCCTGGGCTCAAGTGATCCTCCTGCCTTGCCCCCTCAAAGAGCTAGGATTACAAGCATGAGCCACTGTGCCTAGCCAACAGTTATTTTCATCTGGAAACAAACAAACAAACAAAAGACAGCAGGAATGAAAAAGTCATTTAGGGCCAGAGGTACTTCTGGAACCTACAACTTTCACTGGAGATTGGAGATATAGGGGCCAGGGAGTTTCAGGGCTCTGAGAGTTACTAGGGTAGCCCAGGAGGTGGGGAATGCCCCTGCCCTCACCAAGTGTGAACCTCAGTTTGGAGCGAGGAGCCTGCTGTTGCTGGTGTCAGATCATAAGTCTGTACCCACACTACCCCCACTTGCCCCCAGCACCCTCTCCACACTGAGGCTCAGGACCTTTGCATAGTGTTTACCTTCTATCCCCTGATACTGCTCTTGAAGGCTCCTAATAGGGCAGCTGGGGAGCTTGGGGTATGCAGGTAGGGAGAAAAATTGTTGCTGTGTAGTCTTGAAGGGCCATCACTTGGGAACCTGCTAAAGTTTTTCTAAGTATTCAGAGAGATCCAAACATCTACCATACCAGATGCCCATGTGGTTATTCCTCTTCTTCCAGCTCCTCACTTCCTAAAGGATCCAGCCCAGAACAACTCACCACCAAAAGCCTTGTTCCCTCTCTTTGCTTTTCTTAGAATATTCCTCATATTATCTCTCCATACAGTCCCTACATGCGAGTAAGGCATCGAAAGGACAGGGCTCATGGCAGGGGAATGGGGTACTTTTGAAGAGGGAATATCTGGAAGTGGGTAGACTGAACAGAAAGGGCGTATTGACCTCTAAGGGGAAGTGTTGGAGGCTTTCGTCTCCATTTCCATCCTTCTTCCTTCCCCCCAAGAATTGGTCCTCATATTGGGTAAAAACTGCTTAAGAGTAAGGCCATTAATTGGTCCAGATATTAAGGCATTATCCATCTCTCTGTAAGGATTTGGCACAAGGGCTTTGGGTTTTCTTTGTTTGTTCATTTGTTTACTTTACTTAAAAAAGTCATTATTATTCTCTTTCTCTTCCTCTACCTCAATCTTATCTTCCAGTTGCTTTGCTAAGTTTCCCTATGACAACAGTGCCTCAAATTTTATCTTGTAAGTCATTACACTTTATTTCTCCTTAGCAAAAATGTTACCAAAAATATGTGTAAGAAATAATTTGTTTTGGAATTGCTTTAAGAAAAACATAAAAAGCCTCCTGAGATGATTGAAAATATATCCTAGCACTAACTTATCAACTATCAGTGAACTGACTTATCATTCGAAAGGCATTGCTAAAATATATATATATATATTTTAAAGGTAAAATCGTGATTCTCGTAAAAATGTTAAAATGGACATGTGTCAAAGGTTTTATTTATTAATTAACGAGAGAACATGTAAAAGATATAACTGGTTCAAAGGTGAATTCAAAGAGAGAGTGAAGGAATGCTGAAACGAATTTACAAATAGATGCAAAACTGGCTTTTTCCACAGGGCATGGAACGAAATCAGTTGTCCCTTCACTGGACAGAATTCATATGCACATTATGGACAAGAGTCAACTGCAGACTCTGTCATCTACAAAGTTGTACGTAGCTCAAATAAAATTGAAGGAGGAGATACCCCACAAGGATGCATAAGACAAAAGACTCAGTAAACTTTTTTTGCCATTTCACAGTCTAGCACAAATTTTTCTGACTGTTAAGTCAGGATACTTAATTCTTTGTTCACAGTATATCATTTATATTTGTTTAAAAAACAATTTGATACTGCTGATATGGCTTTTTATTACTCGTTTGAAACTATGAGAAGAGGAATCCTAGACAGAGGAAAAATTATCAATGTAAAAATTATTTTTTTGCCAATCTGGACATATTTGTATAAGTATATGCTACCAAGGAGTGTGACTATTGAGTTCATGAATATTAGGGTTGCCAAAAACATACAGGATTGCCAGTTGAATTTAAAATAAATAACAATTTTTTAAAGTATATGTATGTGTCAAATGTGATAAGAAAAGAGGAAAAATGGCTGCTGGGTAAGCGATTACAATTTGTACCTCGCTAGGCTAGGTCTTACTTTGCTTTTCCTAGGTGCAAAGAGATAATAGTTTCAGAACATGGAATAAGCTGAAAGTGGTTTGTTAAGTTTCTTTTAACTTTACTTTTATTAATTATCCAAGATAGTGCTAAGCAATAGTTATCACCTTCACTTCTGCATGCACACACCAGGCCCAACTGCCCAAGAGGAGATGTAATCCGATCATAGTTATAACTTCCTTGGGCAGGAATGGTGAGCCTGTGGTGACAACTCATCATTCCTTGCTTATCTCAATTAAGGCAGCTTAGATTATGATACCCAGTCACAACTTTCTAGCTCATTCAGGACACTGAAGGACACATTCCTCCTTCTTTTCTAATAAAAACTCAATAACTAGCAAGCACAGCTTCTGGACATAGAAGGACATCTCAGAAGAATTTGACAACTGTGACATATTTTATTCCCTGTTGCATTACATATAATTAATCTTTCTGGACAAGGTCACATAGACCTTGGTTTGCTCAACAGTTAGTTTGTAAATTCCACCCACTCTGCAAAACAAAGGAAAAAGCCATAGTGTGGTGAAGGAAGAGTGTCTCCTGTAACACCAACAGAGGCCAGAATAGTGTGAATAAAGAAGAAGGTAAGATTCTAGAAAAGTTTCACAGGTAGAGTCAATAGTTTGGTTTGTGATTTGATAGAAGAACTAAATGGAGGCAGGAGTTGAGAAGAATGCCCGGGTTTCTGGGATTTGTAGCTGAAAGAATTGTGGGGCCATTACTGAGGTGGAAATTAGGGGAGGAGAAACAGGTTGGTTTTTATATAAAAGAGACTGTGTAAAGGTGGGAATCTGAATTTCATTACTTTTCTCTCCTGAATATTCTCCTTCCCTGCAACGGCTTTTCCACATTCTGAATAATTTTACCTAGCAAAGGACATTAAATTTCAATTCATTCTCTCTTTAAAAAAAAACAAATACCAATTATCATCTTATCAGAGCTTCTGGTCAGCCTGAGATTATCAGTGTTCCCATAGTGAATTCCCATAAATTCCAACCCAAAGCAAATAAACAAGAAATTTTAATCACCCTACTCAGCCTGTTGAGAGGAAATAGACAATTTTCTTTTAGGTCTTTCAACATACTGAAAATAGCTTGGAGGTCTCCCTGAGTGCCTGACTCATGGTTGGTGCCCTATAAATAACAACTGAAAGATAAATGAATAAATCTTTTTTATATGTCCTTTAGCTCTAATGTGTAATTCCAAGGTCTACTGGAAACTCCTTTTTTCCATAATCACTAGTACCTGGCCCCTATTGATTTTGATTAAGTATGTGGGGTCTATTTTTGTCCATTACTTAGCTAATGTTGCACAATCTTATCCATTACAACAACACAAACAACACAGGAACATGGCACTCAGTCTAAAATCTGTTGGCTTCCCATGCTGAGTAAGGCCCTAACTCCTCAGCTTTACAGCCTTTGATGTTTTGGCTCCCACCAACCCTTCCAGCTAATCTCATTTATATTCTATCTCCAGAACAAGACCTGAATTCACGCCTTTGCCTAAAGTACCAGTTTCTCTGCTTTTCACCTACTTCCATTTTCACTCTACTCATACTGAAAGACCAAACTCAAATGTCACCTTCACCAGGTCTTATTTAGAATCCTCTCTCATTTAACCTGGAGATTGGCCAGAGATGGAGCAAAAAATGTCTGCTAAATAGTGAGTTTTTAAGTTCCATTCTAGGAAATTTAGATTGGATTATTAACCTAAAATTATTTTTCTAGATTATGATCTAAGCAATTAAAGGAGAAAAAGAACTATTAGAATCCTTGAAAATATCATCTTCAATAATATCCTTTGGAAATCAAGCACAGAAAATATTTTTAACACTGTTTTTCTTTAATCAAAGGTATTTTTCACATAAAATAATCTAATATAGTTTGTAAATGCATCTAAGGTAGTACTTATTTTAAATAATTAAACCTTTTGTTATGAGGATTAACTGCTTATTTTTTATTTATTTTTAAATTTTTATATACAGTAATTTTTACAATTCATTTAATAGCAACTGGTACCATCAAATTTCTATACTTTGGTTATCCCTTCTTTAGACAACAGTCTGCAAATTAGCACTGATTTTTTGCAAAAGTTACTATGTTAGCTGTACTGTCATTTTTCTTAAGGTTGACCAAAGATAACCTAGAATCACAGCCATTATATGATTGCACAAAATGATCATATAATATATCAGACCTGGTTTATCACCAGCATTTATAAAACCAGACCTGGGGAAAGAACTAGGTCTAGGGATACATACATGGTCTTAATATTGCGAATGTTTAGCCCATCGTGATTATTACAAAATCAGAACAGCGAGAATATTCACAGTAACTGCTTAATTTAAGTGATAAAACCCCAACGCATGAATAGATAACATGCTGAACTCAATTAAGCGTCCTATTAGCTGAGAAGACATTGGTGAACAGCGTAAGTCAGAGCTTTTCTTGCTGAACTTATGCACTTTCATTTTAATTGGGGGTGGAGAGATGGACAATACACAAATCTTGTATCAAAGTGATTGATATTTAGCATTTTAAATAAGAATGATTGAGTGGCCAGTTTAGAATGCAGGGTCTGGAAAGGCCTGAGAAGGCAATATTCAAGCTGAGATCTAAAAATGAAAAGGAGATGACAGTGGAAAATTCAGGAGGAAGAGCATTCTAAGCAGAAGGCCCTGGAGCACTGTGGGGAGACAGAGTGGTACATGATATTGGAGAAGCGGCACAGATAGATCACGTATTTCCTTGTAAGCAAGCACAAAGAGTGTGGATTTAAATCTCCAAGCAAAGAAGCCCTTGGAAGATTTTACAAAGGGAAGCAATATGATCTAGTTTATTGTTGTTCTTTTTCTTCTTTTTTTAAAAAAAGATCACTTTGGAAACTCTAGCAAACAGATTTGGGGGGCAGAAGGTGAGGCCAACTGGAGGGCAATAGTCAGAGCCACAGATGATTTCGCTCAGAGTAAGATGGTGTTTGTGAAGCTGGAGAAAAGATTAATCCAATTTGGAAGCTGAGTCAAAAGATCTTGTTTATCCACTGGATGAGAGAGAGGATGGGGGAGGAAATTCATTCCAGAATACTACTGCCTATTTATGTACTTCTTAAGATTCTTTGAGACAGTCATAATGTCTGACTGTGTGAAGTTATCAGTGTCAAAATGAAGTCACTTACGTCAAATCTAATGAAATGGAGCCAGGAGGCTATGGAGAAGAAGCCCTCAGGCACCTAAGTTTGTAGCACTAATTATTGCAAGAAATTCCTCAAAATCACAGTATTCCAGATAAACCACTTGCACAAGACACTTGCCTAACAATGGCTGTCTCCACCAATAAGCTAATGCCAACTCCTGCAACAAGCCCCTGTAACCAATGGTCTTTGTTTCAAAGCAGGTTACCTGTAATTCTTTTTTCTTTTAAAAGCCTGCTCTTACCCAAACCTCTTTGGATGCACCTATGGTCTGACATAGAACCCGCATCCCAAATGGTAATTTCTTGCTATTCTCGAATTAACTCTGTTTTGGAGAGTCGGTCTCTCTGCTGTTTATTTTAGATTGACAACTGGTTCCTTTATTAATTAATGAGTTAATTGACACATGTTCGTTTTATGTTTGTATATTTGCATAGATTCTGATTTTACCTTTTAGAAATAATCTTTAACGTTGGAATGGGTTGAGGAATGAATGGGAAATGAGTAGAGGCAACACATGTATACAACTCTTTTTAAAAGTTTAGATTAGAGGTCAAGTTGTTCTTCCATTACCCCTCCAGAGAGGCAGCCTCTACATTGTTCTGTAGAAATAACCAATCCCTATGGCATGCAATCTGAGTGCAACCATCAGACAAGGTGTCCCCAAGGTTCAGACATGGCCCTATAAGTTGGCCAGAGCTATTGGTCACTAAGGCTGATGTCACATCGACTCCACACAAGCCCCACTGCTCTTGGCACCTGCCTCTCCCTCTAGCAAACGAGATTCTGGGTCCTTGGAGGTGAGAACACCCACAGGGTGACGTCAGCATCAGCATGCATCAGCAGCCAGTAGGGCATGACGTCAGTGCGCTGTGTGGGCCAGGAGTAGGGTCTAATCATTGATCTGTAGGCTGCGGCTCAAGGGCAGCCCCAAGTGTGTGGAGGCTGAGGGGCATGACACCACCTCGCTGCAAGGCCCAGGGGTGGGGCTAGGTGCCCCTCTCCCCTTTCTCTGGATCATAGGCCCTGGCAGGGTGAGAGGACGTCAGGGCAGTGTGCTGGTGGACTCTCTGGCCCTTTTGCCACACCATAGTCCCCATGACCGTCAGTGTAGGGAGTATTCACCTTTTAAAATGGAGAGACTGAAGGTTCAGAGGGGTGAACTAACTTGCATATATAATATATCAGACCTGGTTTATCACCAGCATTTATAAAAATTAGATTACATAGCAGAGCTGGATTCTAGATAGTCTAATAATTCTTTTTCTTTAAAAGGAACATAATCATATTTTACTCATGAGATATTTTGAAGTTTAAATTAGGTAATGTACACAAAGCACCTTACATGTCCCTAAAATTCCTGCGTATGTTCCTTACTCATGGCATCTGTCCATCCAACCCGGAGCAGGGACCATTTCTGATTTCTAGCTGGATCTCCAGTAACTCAACACAAAGGAGAAGCAGAGTATACTGAGCAAAAGGCCTGAAGCTAAGATAGTAGATCTTATCAAGCAAAAGATAAGGCCAAATGTAGGTGTCTCAGCTGCACCCTGACAAGCACACACATAGGCACACACCCATACTTGCACCTCTCACCTTATCTTTTTATTGACATCACCCTTCCTATAATTATCCAGACTGAAAATCTGCTATCATTCTGCTCTTTCATGCCTGGCACACTCGGTTAGTCCCTCACTCCATCTCCTATTCCTTCCCTAGTCTCTATTTCCCTTAGATAAGGCCTCCTCAGATGACCTCTAACTTACTCAAATTGCTTCCTTAGTTCAATTAATAAATATTTATTTATGTTTAATAATCATTTAGTTCACCAAATATTTCCAATTTTACCCTTTCCCAGCACATAATGGGATTATACTTCCTGGTCCCTGAGCAGTGAGGTGTTTGAGTAGATGTGACCCACCCCTACCCACCCCACTCTCTTACTTTCAGATACAGCATGTGGTTGCCACTCTAAGGAACTCAAGAGCTCTCTTTTCCTTCTGTCTCAAGAAGGAAATCTCAATAGATTCTGTCTCAAGAAACCGCTTTCTTTGCTCATGTATAAGAAACAACAACTCATTTGCTAAAGTTTGATCATGAGATTACAGAAATTCAGTCACATCTTCAGGCTCCACTTCTAGTTGTAGTTCTCTTGCTATTTCCATCACATCTGCAGTGACCCCCTCCACTGAAGTCTTGAACTCCCTCGAAGTCATTCATTAGGGTTGAAATTGACTTCTTCCAAAGTCCTGTTAATGTTGACATTTTAACCTCCACTAATCACGAATGCTTTTAATAGCACCTAGAATGGTGAACCCTTTCCAGAAGCTTTTCAATGTACTTTGCCCAGATTCATCAGTGAAATCATTATCTATGGCAGCTATAGCTTTACAAAATGTATTTTTTAAATAACAAGACCTAAAAGTAAAAATTACTCCTTGATCCATGGGCTGCAAAATGGATGTTGTCTTAGCAGGCATGAAAACAACATTAATCTCCCTGTATACCCATCAGAGCTTTTGGGTGACTAGGTACATTGTCAATGAGCAGTAATCTTTTGAAAGAAATCTTTTTTTTCTAAGAACTAGGTCTCAATACTGAGGTTAAAATATTCAGCAAACCATGCTGTAAACAGATGTGCTGTCATCTAGGCTTTGTTATTCCATTTCGAGAGCGTAGGCAGAGTAGATTTAGCATAATTTGTAAGGGCCTTAGATTTCTTGGGATGGTAAATGAGCACTGGCTTCAATTTAAATCCACTCTCTGCATTAGCTCCTAACAAAATAATCAGCCTGTTGTTTGAAGCTTTGAAGTCAGGCATTGGCTTTTTCTCTTCTTCTCTCTACCTGTAAAAGTCCCAGATGGCATCTTCTTCCAATAATAGTAGGTTGTTTCATCTGCATTGAAAATGTATTGTTTAATGTAGCCATCTTCGTCAATTATCTTTACTAGATCTTCTAGGTAACTTGCTGCAGCTTCTCCATCAGCACTTGCTGTTTTACCCTGCACTTCTATGTTACAGAGATGACTTCTTTCCTTAAACCTCGTGAACCAACTTCTGCTAATTTCAAACATTTCTTTTGCAGCTTCCTCACCTCTCAGCCTTCACAGAATTCAAGAAGCCTTGCTCTGGATTAGGCTTTGGATGAAGGGGATACTGTGATTGGTTTGATCTTCTATTCCTGACCACTAAAACTCGTCTCCACATCAGCAGTGAGGCTGTTTCACTTTCTTTTCATTCATATGTTCATTGGAGTAGTAGTTTTAATTTCCTTTAAGGACTTTTTCTTTGCATTCCCAACTTGGCTGTTTGGTGCCAGAGGCCTAGCTTTTGGCCTGTCTTGGCTTTCAACATGGCTTCCTCCCTAAGTTTAATCACTTCTAGCTTTTGATTTAAAGTGAAAGACATGGACTCTTTCACTTCAACACTTAGAGGCCATTGTAGGGTTATTAATTGGCCTAATTTCAATATTCTTGTGTCTCAGGGTATAGGGAGACTTGAGGAGAGGGAGAGAGATGGGGGAATGGCCAGTTGGTGGAGCGGAAAGAACACACACATTTATTGATTACCGTCTTATATGGACAGGGTTCAAGGTGCCACAAAACAGTTACAGTAGCAATATCAAATATCACTAATCATAGATCACCATAACAGATATAATAATAATGAAAACATTTGAAATATTGTGAGAATTACCAAAAAGGGTCACATAGACATGAAGTGAGAAAGTGCTATTGGAAAAATGGTGCTGATAGGCTTGCTGGATGCCGGGTTGCCACAAACCCTCATTTTATGAAAAGAAAATACCTGCGGGGTATAATAAAACAAGGCACGGCAAAATAAAGCATGCCTGTATAAGGACTTAAATATTTATCCAATGAATGATGGCTCATTGTATCCTTCAAGGCTCATTAAAAATGCTGTTGCTACTTTAACAAATTACCACAAAATTAATGGCTAAAACAACACAAAAGTATTATCTTGCGCTTTTATAGGTGTTAGCAGAGCTGCATTTCTTTTTGGCAGATCTAATGTAGAATCTGTTTCCTTGCTTTTCCCAGCCTCTAGAAGCTGCCCACATTCCTTGGCTCATGGCCCTAATATTCCATCTTCACAGCCAGCAGTGAGCATCTGAGCATCTTTCAGAGTCTCATCCCCTTCTAACTCTGAACTCAGTTGGGAAAGGTTCTCTGATTTTAAAGATTGATGTAATTATTTTGGGCTCACTTGGATAATTCAGGATAATCTCCTCATCTCAACATCCTTAATCACTTTTTCCTTTTACCATGTGAGGTAACGTATTCATAGTTCTAGGGGTTAGAACATGGACATCTCTGTCGGGTGGTGAAGGCAGCATTATTCTGCCTACTATATTTCGGAGTCTTTCCTTGTTTTTCTCTCTAGCTTGGCATTTACCCCTAAATATTAGCCAAGTGAAGACTTTTCTAAAAAGCATCAGGGGTTCCACAAAAAGTAGGGTAATCATATAATTTATTGTCCACACTGAGACACTTTTGAGAATGAAAGGGGACACCATTGATATGTACACCAGGACTCAGGTGTACACTTGACTGACTGGACGTGGCAGAATGAAGTGAATGTGTGACCTGTGGAGTTGGAGTTAAGTTAAAGCAACATTATTATGGACTTCTACCCTCTAGCCTGATCTTGGAGAGAGATCAAGAAGATACTGGGAGGCTTTACTTTCCTCAGAAAATTCATGCCTTAGGCTGGAGATGGGATGCTTTATCTGGTTCAACAGGCTAAGCAGGATCTTTTTCTCTTCTGCTTTAACAATAAAAAATATAAAGCTTTTATTAAGAACATTAGACTTTTATCTTTTATCTGTGATATATCCCAGATTGACATGTGTCTTTTGACTTTGTTTATGATGAAGCCTTCTTTAGCAAAGTAGTTTCAATATATTTTGTAGCCACTTAACCAAAGATATAAAGAATTCAAAGTGACAAAACTAGGGATCTGCCTCATATTGGACTTGTAAATGGTGATTTTCAGCTTTGGAGAGAAAGGAAAAACATACTAAAGAATTTCACAGCTTTTCCCTTATCTTATCAAGGCTTTCCATTGCAAACTCTGTTAGTCTTAGAACCAGAAGATATTTCAGAAAATCACCTTCATATACCCAGAGTCGGTTACTGCTTTGCAGTTGCAAAATAGTAGCTTTCCAATTCTATCACACCCTCTACTTTTTCTGTATAAAAGAGCTTTCCTTTCTCCTCACCCCAAACTTTTTCTTTCCTTTGCTTCTTCTTATATTTTCAATGAATATCACTATGGATTTATGGGTTTTATTTTCATTTATTTAATGTATGTTATCCATTACCATATATATATGGTAATTTTTTTTAATGGTAATTTTTTTTTTTTTTTAGACAGAGTCTCGCCCTGTCACCCAGGCTGGAGTGCAGTGGTGTGATCTTGGCTCACTGCAACTTCCATCTCCTGGGTTCAAGCGATTCTCCTGCCTCAGCCTCCTGAGTAGCTGGGTTTACAGGCACATGCCACCATGCCTGGCTAAATTTTGTATTTTTAGTAGAGACAGGGTTTTGCCATTTTGGCCAGGCTAGTCTAGAACTCCTGACCTCAGGTGTTCTGCCTGCCTCGGCCTCCCAAAGTGCTGGGATTACAGGCTTGAGCCACGGTGCCCATTCTATATTCTTCTTGTTTTTTTTTTAAAGACAGAGTCTCGTGTTGTCACCCAGGCTGGAGTGCAGTAACATGATCTTGGCTCACTGCAACCTCGGCCTTCCAGGTTCAAGCAATTATCGTGCCTCAGCCTCCCAAGTAGCTGGGACTACTGATGTGTGCCACCACACCTGGCTAATTTTTTTTATTTTTTGGTAGTGACGAGGTGTTGTCATGTTGGCCAGGCTGGTCTTGAACTCCTGACCTCAAGTGATCTGCCCACCTCAGCCTCCCAAAGTGCTGGGAGTACAGGCATGAGCCACTGCGCCCAGCACTATATTCTTTTTTGATGCTCAAATTGTCTCAGATTTGGCCCGTTGGAGTCCTTTAAGCTGCTCTAGTAAACTTTTGACCTGTCTCTGTCAGTCTTTGGGTTCTCTCTTGTTCTCTGGCACAAGAGAGTTGTAGGTCCACTTTACCTGCCCCTGACCCGAACGGTCATTTCTCCAAAGAGCTCAGGCTCCTGTCAGTAGGGAATAATATTTAGAAACCAAGATCTGGGCTTTAGGTATACCCACTGCTGCTGGGTGTCATTGCCTCTTGGCCCTTTTAGTTTCCTTTTGGCATGTCCCTTTCTCATTCTTTGTTTGGCTGAGTAGTTTTTCACTCTTGGAATATACCTTAAAAAAAAATCAGTCTCCTATAGAAGAACATTTAGGACTTCCGACATTTCGCTATTACGAAGAATACCACAATGAATAACCCTGCACATATGTTTCTTCAGGTGTATGGTTGTGTATCTTCAGGAAAATTTCCTACAAATGAGATTGCTACATTAAAAGGTAAGTGCAAATGTGGCTTTGTTAGATTTTGCTAAATTCTCCTCCACAGAGGTCATGCCGTTTTGTATTTCCACCAGCATTTGATGAGAGTATTCATTTTCCCACAGCCTTACTAACAGAATTATGGAATGGTATCAAACTTATACATTTTTGCAACCTTGTGAGAAATGGTGCCTAAATGTAGTAATAATTTGCATTTCTGTAATGCAAGAAGAAGCAGCTGAGGATTTTGACCTACTAAAGGGCCATTTGAATATCATTTATTAACTGTGTACATGCTTTTTGTACATTTTTCTAGAAGGTTTTGGTTCTTTTTTTCTTGATTTTTGTGTTCTTTTATATTAGGAACATAAGATCCTGGTCTATGATATATATTAATTCTAATATTAATATTTTATAACATTTGTCTTTTGACTTTGTTTATGTTTGCTGCAATTTCTTTCATTTTTACATAGTCCAGTTTAACAATATTTTTATTTATTGTGTCTGGACTTTGAGTTATAATTGGGTAAAAACTGCTACTAATTTTGGCATTAATTTTTTTCATACTATTAGTAATTTGAATTCTGACAAATGTATCTACTTACTTTGATGTAATAATGCTATAGTCATTAGTCATCTAATGATAACGTTTTCATGCCTCGTTTTTACCTTCTTTCTGTCTTTTTAAAGAATTCATTTAGATTAATCTGACATCGATTTTTAGAAAGCAATTTGGCAATATGTATCGAGGCATAAAACATGTTCTCGTTTTTCAACATTGAACTACTATCCTAGGGGAAAAATCCTAAACTCAGTACTTAACACAGGGCCTGGTATTTTTATTAGGTTTTCAATCAATATTTGCTGAATGAAGTAATAAATATGGGGGTGGCAGTACATGCATGAAAATGTTTTTGCTGAATTATTTACAATATGAAAAATTGACTGCAGTGTAAAAAACGAATGGTAGAGAAATGGTTAAAAACATGTAACTGTGTGCAACTACCTAAACATTTAATATGATATGTCTACTACATTGGAAATGAGGTAACACTGAAAATTAATGGTTCTAAAAGATATACAACATGGTGAAGGTACATAATATGTGAATGTGATGATAGAAGAAAAAAATCGAATTCCCAAATTATCAAAAATGATATATTGAGACAAATACTACATGATCTCACATAAATGAGGAATCTCAAAAAGTTGAACTCATAGAAGCAGAGAGTAGAATGGTGATTACCAGGCTTGGTGCAGGTAGATATTGGTCAAAAGATACAAAATTTTACTCAGGAGGAATGAGTTCAAGAGCTCTATTGTACAACATGGTGATTATAGTTTATAACAATGTATTGTATAACTGAACATCACTAACAGAGTAGATTTTGTGTTCTCACCACAGAAAAATAAGTATGTGAGGTAATGCATATATTAATCGAGCCATCCCAAACTGTATACATATTTCAAAATGTCACATTGTGCATTATAAATATATACAATTTTTATTTACCTGTTAAAAAATAAATACAATTTTAAATGATACATTGAATTATATACACACTGAAGAAGAATTAAGACTGCAAGAAAATGCAGCAAAATGCTAATAGCTATATTTACCCATTTTTTCTAACTTTCTGTAATTTTATGATATATTTCTGATGAAGAAACAAAATTTTATTAAATATCAATTCTCTGCTCCCTAGCTGTCCTTATACTCCGAGTATAGCAATAGAGAAAGTATTTGGGTTTTTTTAGTTTTTGGTTTTTGGTTTTTTCTTTCTTTTTTTTTTTGAGATGGAGTTTCATTCTTCTTGTTGCCTAGGCTGGATTACAGTGGCGCAATCTCAGCTCACTGCAACCTCCACCTCACAGGTTCAAGCGATTCTCCTGACTCAGCCTCCTGAGTAGCTGGGACTACAGGCGCACACCACCATGCCCAGCTAATTTTTGTATTTTTGGTAGAGATGGGGTTTCACCATATTGGCCAGGCTGGTCTTGAACTCCTGACCTCAAGTGATCTGTCTGCCTCGGCCTCCCAAAGTGCTGAGAATACATGCATGAGCCACTGCACCCGGCTGAGAAAGCATTTGATAATATGAAGCAGGCCATGGCTTAAGGGAGAATTAAACCTTTGCACAGAAGTACAGTATAGAATTCTCACCAAGCAACTGATAGTGAAAGCTTGATTATGTATAAAAGACCACAGTAAACGCTTTTCACAATTTTAGGTGGCTGCATAGCTTTGAGTCTCAGATCTCTTCACTGTACTAATGGGGATAACAAGGGTAGTCCACAGATTCAATGTGAGGATTAAATGAGATAATACATATAAATGCTAATAACAGAACCCGGACTACAGTAAATTTTCAATACATGTTAACTGTTTTGGTTATTGGATTTGCTTTTCTTTAATTATTAATACTTGGTTACAGTGCCCCCATGTGTCTATACATTGCAATACTTCTGGTCTTTAAAAGGACTTCTTAATACTTTAGATTAATGCATTTGAAATGACAGTTCTAAGGCCATACAAGCATTGTCCACTCGTGTTTTATATACGCTATGAAGATTAAACAGCTCCTTTAAAAATAAAGTGTGTTATCCCCGAATATAAAAGTAACACATGCTCACTGTAGAAACTTTGGAAAATATTGAGAACTGTACAGAATTCCAGTCACCTATGTACAACTACCTAGATATTTTATATATTCTATATGTTAATTTTTACAAATTGGGATCTGTGCATTTGTATGTTAAATTTTAGAATACATGTAAAATACATTATTAAAGCAAGAGCAGAAATAAAACTATGAGGCTACTGGGGGTTATCCCATTGTAAACAGAAGCTGGTGTCATCACTATGGTCTCTTACGTCCCTCATTTATAGGCAATTAAAGTAGGTATATTAAACTCGAGTGGAAAAATGCTTTAAAGTGAAAGAAAGTCCAATCTGACTTAGAAGTACAATGTTGTATTACATTATACCTTACGTATAACTTGAGGAGAGTTGTGTAAGAATCAGTTTGTTGGCCGGGTGCGGTGGCTCACTCCTGTAATCCCAGCATTTTGGGAGGCCGAGGCAGGTGGATCACGAGATTAGGAGATCAAGACCATCCTGGCTAACGTAGTGAAACCCCATCTCTACTAAAAATACAAAACATTAGCCAGGCACGGTGGCAGACGGCTGTAGTCCCAGCTACTCGGGAGGCTGGGGCAGGAGAATAGCGTGAACCCAAGAGGCAGAGGCTGCAGTGAACCGAGATCACGCCACTGCACTCCAGCCTGGGTATGAGCTTTAAAGCTCATATTTAAAGCTCATCATCAATGGAGGCCAAAACCATTAAGTGAAAGGCTTTTGGTGAATGGGATATTCAAAAGCTCTCAAAAGATCATATTTATCATTTCAAATAGATAACAAATTGTGTCTGTTCTGAACATGTACAGACCCTTTTTCTTGCCATTATTCTTTAAACAATACAGTATAACAACTATTTACATAGCATTTACATTGTATTAGGTATTATAAGTAATCTAAAAATGATTTAAAGTGTATAGGAGGATGTGGGTTGGTTATATGCAAATACTATGCCATTTATATCAAGGACTTGAGTGTCCTCAGATTTTGGTATCCTGGGGAGGTCTTGGAACCAATTCTCCATGGATACTGAGGGAGGATTGTATAACAGTGTTGGTCACAACACAAATTCCTAGACATCCCCTACCTCCAACCAAGATTCTGATTAGTTAGTCTGGGGTGGTGGAGAGGGAGGGAGCAGGAATTTACATTTCTAAGCAGCTCACAGGCAATGCTGGTGATGCTGATCCATGGACCTGACTTTAAATAGCACTGAATTATAAAACTTTGAAATTACAAAGTGTCTGTGAGTCCATAGTGATGAGAAAGAGAGAGAGATAAATGATGGAGAAGGGTGATAAAGCTCATATTTATAGAGGAATGCCAGCTAGCAAATGTCAAGGAATTATAGATTTAGGGGGAAAATCACCATTTTGTAGTTCCCAATGCAATAACTGATTCAGGTAAAGATCATCAATGGAGGCCAAAACCATTAAGTGAAAGGCTTTTGGGGAATGGGATTTTCATAAGCTCTCAAAAGATCATATTTATCATTTCAAATACATATCAAATCACTTACTAACAGTGGAGGAAAACAATTATATTTTTATCATGGGAAAAGCTAGTAATAAATTTAGTGTCACCAATAATAGGACAAACTGACACTATGTATTCCCTAGTGGATACAGTGGGAAGTACAATAGCATCTGTAGAATATTCTTGCCAAAAATGTTTAACCTGAATCTAATCATGAAGAAGCAGACAAATCCAGACTGTGGGACATAAATTGTCTGGCTTGGACCTTAAAAATTTCTAGGACGTGAAAAACTAGGAAAAGGTGGGGAAAATATTCTAAATTGAAAGTGACATAGCCAAATGCAATAGATTCTGGATCAAACAAATTCTACAGATGATATTGGGTATCCTGGGGGAATTTGGTTATAGACTGTTTAATAATATTTAATTAACGCTTGAAATTTTATGTGTAAATTAATGGCATTGTGGTTATATAGGAGAAGGGCGATTCTAAGGAGATACACGATAAAGTATTTACGTGCGAAGTGTCAGGATGATTGCAACTGTGTGTGTGTGTGCATGTGTGTACATGTGTAGCGGGAGGTGGGGGGGGGTAGAAAGAGAGAGAGAGAGAGAGAGAGAAACAGGAAGAGAAAAGAAGCCCAAATATGTTTACATAGGAGAAGGGTGATTCTAAGGAGATACACGATAAAGTACTTATGTGTGAAGTGTCAGGATGATTGCAACTGTGTGTGTGTGTGCATGTGTGTACATGTGTAGCAGGAGGTGGAGGGGGGGATAGAAAGAGAGAGAGAGAGAGAGAAACAGGGAGAGAAAAGAAGCCCAAATATGTTTACATAGGAGAAGGGTGATTCTAAGTAGATACACAATAAAGTACTTACATGTGAAGTTACAGGATGATTGCAACTGTGTGTGTGTGTGTGCGCATGTGTAGCGGGAGATGGTGGAGGGGAGAGAGAGAGAAACAGGAAGAGAAAGAAGCCCAAATATGGCAAAATTGTAATGATTGGTGAATTTCAGTGAAAAGTACATTGGTGTTAATTTTACCCTCTCTTTCAAATTCTTGAAGGTTTGGCATTTTACAAAATAAAAAGTTGAGGAAAAATTAAATTCCCTCTTCCCTGTCTGTTCTGGGATGAGCCAAATGAGGGTGCTAGCTAGAATGGGTAGAAGGAGACAGGTAAGGGGATTTGCAAAGAAGAGAAAATTGGAAAAAAGGGTCTAGGTACACAAAGGAGGAGCAGGGACCATGATTCTAGTTTATTAGGATCATTTAACAGCAGGGGCTATAACAACTTCCAGATCCCCATGGCTTAACACAATAAAAGGTTCTTTCTGGTTCAAGTCACTGTTCTAGTTGAGAAAACTGACTCAGAGAGGCAATCTGCCTAAAAGCCAAAGCAGGTGACAACCAGCATTCCTACCCAGTTATGATTCCAAAGCCTGTATTCGTTTTAGTGCAGCACACTGCTCCTGAGAAGAAGGACTTTCCTATGGTATCCTTAGATTAGAACGGAACTGTCCTAGGTCCCAATCTGCCATGCTTTTTACTTTTCATTGTTGGATCCATATTCTGTCGCCAAGAGGCAGTTGCAGGCCCTGATAAGGCCTCACTTTAGGGTTCAGAGCATTCCTTTATTTGTTCTACAAATATCTTTTAAATACCTCTCATGTCTTAAGCACAGTTCTAGGATACAACAGTGAGTAAGACACAAAGTCCCTGCTCTTTGAAGCATACTTTCTAGGGCGGGAAAGAAACAATAAGAAAGTACATGAGTAGGCCAGGCGCTGTGGCTCACGCCTGTAATCTTAGCACTTTGGCAGGCTGAGGTGGGCGGATCACAAGGTCAAGAGTTCGAGACCAGTCTGACCAACATGGTGAAACCCTGTCTCTACTAAAAATACAAAAATTAGCCAGGCGTGGTGGCACGCACTTGTAATCCCAGCTACTCAGGAGGCTGGGGCAGGAGAATCGCTTGAACCTGGGAGGCGGAGGTTGCAGTGAGCCGAGATCGCACCACTGCACTCCAGCCTGAGTGACAGGGAGAGACTCCATTTCAAAAAAAAAAAAAAAAAAGAAAAAGAAAGTACATGAGTAAATTAGAGGTAGGGAATGGCAAGGAGTGTAAGGCTCATTTACATAAGGATTCAGAAAACACCCCTCTACTCTACACTTTTGGTTGGAGACCTACAAAATTTGAAGACCTGAGGAAAGTATATTCTAAGTTGAAGAACAGCAAGTTTAAGAGCTGTGGGGCAGTAATGAGCTGGGAGTGACAGAAGGGCATTGAGGCAGGTGTGGCTGGATGGGGAGAGAGGTGGGATAAGTAGAAAGTGGGCATCAGCTAGGGAAAGAAGTGAATGGAGAGGTTTAAAGCAGGTAAATGATGTAATCAGATGTTCATTTTTAGAAGAAGTCCTTCTTGGCAGAATTCTGTATGGAGAATGCAGCCATCCAGGTGAGAATTGGTGGTGGCCTCGTGGTAGTGGGATTGAGAAGTGGTCAGAAGGGAGAGGTATTTTGAAGGGTGAACTGAAAGGATTTACTGGTGGATGTAGGATACAAGGGGGAAAGGAAGATATCTTTTAGTTTTTTGGCCTAAGAAACACCATAACCCCTAGACCCATTTAGTTTCTAGAAACAAAGAGATTTAATAGTAAAACCTATATGTGCCACATTATAGCTAAATTCATTGTATCATAATATTTACTTGTGTGTGTGTGTTTGTTTGTTTGTTTGAAACAGAGTCTTGCTCTGTCACCAGGCTGGAGTGCAGTGGCACGATCTCGGCTCACTGCAACCTCTGCCTCCCAGGTTCAAGTGATTCTCCTGCCTCAGCCTCCCGAGTAGCTGGGACTTCAGGCATGTGCCACCAGGCCCAGCTAATTTTTGTATTTTTAGTAGAGATGGGGTTTCACCATGTTGGCCAGGATGGTCTCGATCTCTTGACCTCGTGATCTGACTGCCTCAGCCTCCCAAAGTGTAGGATTACAGGCGTGAGCCACCGCGCCTGACCTATGTGTGTGTGTGTGTGTGTGTGTGTGTTTAATCTTGGAAATCAGAGGACTAGGTTTGGTAACTGCTTAATTAGTTTCCTCATATCCTTAAAATAGTGTTGATATTTGTTATGCCTCCCTCATAAGATTTTGAGCGAATAAAATGAGATAATATTTGTGAAAATACTGCTCATATGGTTAAGTCATCTAATAACCATCTTTTCTATTTGTGTGGTACTTTCAAGGTAAAGTGTGGTATCTTATGCTTAAAGTAATTCAACACTGCGCTAAAAATCTGGTGGACTGGAATCCCTGTGACATTATTAGGTTATATTATTACGTAAAAATATTTATTGGCACTGCCAAAGGAGGTCTCTCTATTTCTGGCTGTCCCTTTGTGTCTGTCTCTATCTCTGTTGTGAGAGAGCTCATGCAAGCGAGAGCCGGCCAACTCAAGGTTTGCAAAGCAGAACACAGCAGAGGGTCGCTCTTTTTAGGTTAGTTCCTCCACATAGTCAACACACTGCAGGAATTCAGTCGGCCTCCAAGACTGTCCCTCAGTACCACCTACCGGGAGCTAGAACTGCAGGGCTCTTTCCATACCTGGTCTTCCTTAGTTTCGTAAAACCCAGTTTGTTCATTATCAGAACATAGTCATGTTCGGCTTTTTAAACTGACAAATTAACTTTAATGTATGTCAGTCATGGCTGGGCACAGCGGCTCATGCCTGTAATTCCAGTACTTTGGGAGGCTGAGGAGATCAGATCACCTGAGGTCAGGAGTTTGAGACCAACCTGGCTGACATGGTGAAAACCCCTTCTCTACCAAAAATACAAAATTACCCAGGTGCGCTGGCACACGCCTGTAGTGTCAACTACTTGGGAGGCTGAGACAGGAGAATCACTTGAACCCAACAGATGGAGGCTGCAGTGAGCTGAGACCACACCACTGCACTCCAGCCTGGGTGAGACAGGGCGAGACAGAGCGAGACTCTGCCTTAAAAATATATATGTATATATATACGTATATATGTGCGCATATATACGTATATATGCGCATATATATGTATATATATACACACACACACACATCAGTCACTATGTGTGTTTTATTTATTCACCATTATTTATTCTTATGCCCTGTCAAGATTTTTTTCATCTACAATACTTAGAAAATCAGATAGAAATATTTATCTGATATTCACTTTTCAGAAAATTTAACTGATATTTACCTTAATGTTAAAGATTTAAGATTTATTCTGTAAATCTTTAGCCAAGGAATATTTCAGAAGTGTTATGCTTTTGTTACTATTAAATCCATGGCAGCATGCTATTTTGATAAGTTAAAAGTTTTACCTTGTTACAGATAAATGACAGAGTAAAATCGCATGGGATTTGGGATTTTTGTTAATTAGTAATTAGATTTTAGTTACTCTTGTCACGCACAAGAAAGTCACAATGTGAGATGATAGATATGTTAATTTGCTTTACTATAGTAATCATTTTAGCATCTATATGTGTCCCAAAACATCATAACATAAACCTTAAATATACACAATAAAATTCATTTTAACGAATACACAAAATAAAATAAAAATATAAAGATAAACACCTGGAAGGAATGCACAAAATAAAAATAATATAAAATGTATTAAAATAATAAATATCAAGCCTCTTTCCTCTCATCTGCCAAGAAATATTTTGCTATTGTCCACCTAGTTTTTTCCCGTCCCTCAGGCTTTATTAGTAGACCAGGGTGAAGAGTGCACGGCTGTGTGTGTGCACATGTGCATGCGTGTGTGTGTGTGTGTGTGTGTGCGTGCGCGTGCATGTTGGAGGACAGACAAGATCATACTGCAGAGAGCAGGAGGGAATTGCCAAATAAAGACTGATAAAATTAACTCAAAAAGAAAGCTTCGAGACCAGCCCGGCTAGGCCAACACAGTGAAACCCTGTCTCTACTAAAAAATACAAAAATTAGCCAGGCATGGTGGTGCGCACCTGTAGTCCCAGCTACTAGGGAGGCCGAGGCAGGAGAATTGCTTGAACCTGGGAGGTGGAGGTTGCAGTGAGCCGAGATCGTGCCACTGCACTCCAGCTTGGGCGACAGAGTGAGACTCCGTCTCAAAAAAAAAAAAGAAAGAAAGCAAGTGACTGATGGAGGAAAATAGACTGGAACCCTGGATCCCAGGGAAGAAAGGAGTAAAGCATGAGGAGGGTACACGTTCTGGGGAGAATATTAACAGGGATTTTAAGGAATAGCTGTTATATGGGGGGGAGATGTTGAAATGACAGGAAAAGGCTACTTTATAAGTTTTGTTCTACATGAAGAATGTATTTGCCCACCACACCCAACACATACACCCAGGGGCTTTCTGAAGTGAAGATTTGAGTTCCTTTCAGTATTTTAACAGGCTGTTTTCTTCAACTTTTAACATCATGCCAAGACTGGGCCATAAGGGGCTTGACTTAATTCAGATTACCAAGATACACGAGCACCAGAGGGCATTTTTTTTTTTGAAGTAAGTTAGTGACTTCCAATTTAAGATTACTAAGAAGATTCCATAAAAACACACACAGAGAAATTGTAAGGGAAGATATGTACTTGAGATTTTAATTATGTTCTGAAACAGGAAAAGCTCTACTATGAAACGTTTAACATTGACAACCCCCTGAGATCTTCCTGAAATCAGAAACTTTTTGCCAGTCTTCCATGTTTTTTATATCTGTTATTGAAGTTAATTTATTCTGCCTAGTTTAATTTTTCTAAGAACCTTTTTATTATAAAAGTAATATATGTTGACCTGATTTATTCTTAATTGCATGTGGTAAGTTCACTGAAGACAGAGACTATACCTTATTTGTAAAACAATGTCAGGACACCTAACAGCACAGACCCTGGAGTCAGACACACCTGAATTTGAATCTTGGCTCTGCTGCTACTCCCCAGTTAAATACCAAGTAGTTTTTTTGTGGTGGTTGTTGTGTAATCTTGTTTAGACTCAGTACACTCATCTTTAAAATTTAGATAATGCCTATTTCTCTTCGGGCAGTTGTGAACATTAAATGGGAAGATGTATGAAAGTGTTTAGCACACAGTGCCTGGCACCCACAAGTATTCATCCCACAGTAACTATTATTACTTGTATGTCTAGTTTATTATTTGAATCTCTACCATGTAGCACAGAAGGCAGTGCTCAGATCTTTGCTGAACAAATAGCTAAGATGAGAGAAGAAAATCATGAGAGGAATCCAAGGGCTGGCACCCTTGGTTTATTATACCCCTTTTTTTCCTCTGTGACCTTAAGATTTGGAGTCCTAGGGGCTGCTATGGACGCTTGAGCTCTGCTTCCAGCCCCAAATGAGCCTTGTTGGAAGTGGGGTAGGAGGAAAGTGTTGTCTGTTTGTACCAGGGCTTCCCTGGGAGTTCTGAGCTTCTCAGGGGAATTCCATCCCAATCTCCAGCTTCTTTGCCCACTCACCTGCCCTCCTGTCCAATGCCTCTGGAAAGTTTCCTAGTGATGGTAACTTCCAGTGACTAACCTGTACCTTTGTAGGGTCACTGGGAGTGAGGGACCCTCTAAAATACCATCTCCTGCATGAAACATTTCTTGTTTCCCTGGTTAAAAAGAGTATCTCCTGCAATCGCACTTAGCACTTATTGCCCTACTCTAGCTACTAGCTTTATGTTGTTTCCTGCTGTGAATTGTAGGTCTCTGAGAGCAAAGTCTAGGTCTGGTTCCTGTTTGATCAGTACAATGAGCTGCACATATGTTTCCAAGCAATGGCTGTTAAGCTGAATTCCAAGGAAGCAAGACTCGGGGCTGTAGCCTAGAGCTAAGCCCTGAGCCCAGATCTTGCCCTAAACTCCAAGGTGCTACCCCGATCACCAGACCTTTAAGTTTATACACTTCTGCTCCCTATGGCAGAACACAGGCTCTGAGCAATTAGCAGCCTGAAGTTCATTGTTTAAGATTCATTGGAGGAAGTTCCCAGCAATAGATTTCAAAAAGCTGGCAGGAATCCAGAAGAACAGCTTTATTTAGGGAATAAGAAAGCTTTATTTAATAGGGAATACGAATTTACAAGATATTAACATTACGCTTTTTCCACTCCATAATTTGAAGTTCATTTTTTACACCACCCAGCTGTTACATAGGAGCACGGTGGAAATTCAATACCTGTTACAGCTGGAAACAATCTGGAAGAATTCTGACTCTATTAGCAGACAGCTTACTAAAACTTTGTTCTAGTAGTCATATAAAATAATTTATTTGGTCCCAAGTGTCACTACTATATTCAAAGTCATCCAATGTGATAACAAAAATTGTAGAACATTATACGTTTTCATTCCCAGTGATCATTGCCACAGTTTGCTAAAGTTCCTGGCTGAAAATAAATATTTTCTAGATATCATTCTAAGTTGTTTAACTAAATGTAGATGAAATAACATCTCAGGAAAAGTTTGTCAACTCATTAATTTGATTTCCTCATTTGGCATGGAAAAACAATTACCCTTTCAACTTCATCAGTGTCTCTGTAGAGACTTGGATTTTTCGCAGCCTCAGTTCTGCTTGAAGAACGCCAAAGTGTCTCCTCTTGATTTCATGTGGCTCTTCACAAATCCAGTTAATTTCCTGAACCCCTGGGCCAGCCCCTCCCCTGTGAGGGCACAGCAGGGTTGCACATACCAGTTCCGGTCACTGCAAAGCTTCTTCACTTTGAACATTCTGGTGATGTCCTCAGCAGTCAGAGCTCCAGGCATGTCTTGTTTGTTGGCTAATAGAACAACAGGCACATTTTTAATGTGTTCATTCTTCAAAATGTGCTCAAACTGTCTCTGAGACTCTTCCAGTCGCTGTTTGTCTGTACTGTCCACAACATACACCAGCCCATCGGTGTTCTCACAGTAACAGCCCCAAACAGTTCTCATTTTTTCCTGTCCTCCAACATCCCAGACTGTGAGTGAAAGATTCCTTTCCAACTCGATCATTTCCACATTGAAACCTATTGTAGGGATGGTGGTAATATCCTTAGCAAGCTTTAATTTATAAAGGAGAGTAGACTTCCCAGCTGAGTCAAGTCCCAAAAGAAGAACTTGGGCTTGTTTGGTTTGCGGATTTTTAGAACCCAGCGAACCCATTTCAGCCTTTTTCTCTCTCTGTCTCTAAATACCTTTTTTTTTTTTCTTTCTTTCTTTCTTCGAATGGCCAGAGACAATGTGTCCTTTCTGGATCTCACATGAAAATGTTAGGAAGAAAGAAGAAAGCAAATTCTTCATGCTGTATTCTAAGAACAAGAACCTAGATGTGTTTATGTTGTAGCTTATCAACTTGATTATGGGCAAACAGTATTTTATTTGCAGTCCCAGCCAATCCTGAGGGATCTGTGGTATGAGTAACCAGCCAATGCCATGGTGACTCAAAGGGGAAATTCTCTGTGAATGAGTAAGATTAGGAGAGGCCTACCTGGCTGATGCTGCAGTTTTGTTTTCTTTCAGGTGCTAGAAATCTAGAGGAACCTGAAGGTTCAGACACGCAGAGGAGCATGGTTTAGTAGCAGAATAAAAACTTAACTTTTCATTTTAACTAACTTTTAACTTAAATTTAACTAAACTTTTTGTGTAACTTTTTGTGGAACTTCTCTAGGTATTCAACCATTTATCTTATCCCAGTTGTAAATAAGGAACCAGGCTTCTTAAGTTGTGAAGAGAGAGTTATTCTCACACTCTGTCTGCAGTATCTTAAATCCGCCTTGTTCAGATTACTCAGTAGGAAACTTTAAACCACTCAAGGTTATCTGAACCTTACTCCCTAATCACATACAGAATCACTTTCTTTAAAATTCTAGGCAGAGAATTTACACTACTGCAGTCACAAAACCAAATATATGAGGGGGAATTTATAACACGAACAGTTTTACATTAAGCAGTCCAATTAAAGATGGCAAATAAAAACATGCATTTATTTCCTCTCCTTCCCAAGACTCCACAGAATAATGGTAAAGGCATTAAAAGAACATATAGGCCAGGCATGGTGGCTCACGCCTGTAATCCCAACACTTTGGGAGGCCGAGGTGGGTGGATCATGAGGCCAGGAGATCAAGACCAGCCTGGTCAACATGGTAAAACCCCATCTCTACTAAAAATACAAAAAAATTAGCTGGGCGTGGTGGCCCGTGCCTATAATCTCAGCTACTTGGGAGGCTGAGACAGGAGAATCGCTTGAACCAGGGAGTCGGAGGTTGCAGTGAGCCGAGATCGCACCACTGCACTCCAGCCTGGTGACAGTGAGACACTCCGTCTCAAAAAAAAAAAAACAAAAAAAACATATAAATCCATAACAAAACAGCAAGATAATTCATCAAAGGGTCAGAAATTTTAACAAAATTCTGGAAAATGGAAACTAGATGGAAAAATGAGTGATAACTGATATAGCAGGATAAAGCCAAGGCTTGGAGTGCTGATGCAGAGGAGATAGACAAGAGGTGACAGGTATGGCAGACAGAAGGGGTGAAATAAAGGACTAAAAACAGCAGAAGGTAACAAGAAGCCAAAATAAACAGAACACACACACACACACACACACACACACACCCCTCTGCTGGGTGTCTTCAGCAACTAGATGTTTATTCCCAGGCAAAATACTGAAGAGTTTTTTATTAAAGAAATTGAATGATCTCAGAAAAAAGATCTCCATGTTTTGACAGTTGGGAGTTTCTGACCATAATGCCAAAGTCAACATGTAATTAACCTATAGCCAACCTGGCAGTTGGCAAACTTGCTCACATACATAGAATTCCCAATCAGCTTTGCAGTGCACAGAAGTTTCTATACTTAATGGATAGCATGCCTTCAATATGAATAAGAGAGAGACCAAGATAAAAATAAGAACTTTTAAGAAAGCTTAAACAGAGCTAATGAAGGGAACAGAAGAACATTTTCATTAAATTCTAATTACTATTTTTATACAGACTTGAGAAGATATTACATCCATAAGACAAGAAATGGATGGTATTAAACAGACCACTCAGAGAATAAAAACAAAACTCCTAAAAATTAAAAACACAAATTTCAAAAAATTTTAAAGATCAGTAATACCTGTAGGCTGGAAGACAATATTGAAGGAGTCTTTCAGAAAGTCGAAGATAGAAAATACAGAAGAAAAGATAAGACATATAGAGGATGAACTCAGAAATCTTAACTCAGAAGTCTGATTTA